>NW_003315913.1:0-180671 GCF_000001405.40 Homo sapiens
TCACTAATTTTCCATCTGAAGATGTACTTGACAATGATCTTACATGCACAATCTTGCAACATTAGTGTATTTCACCCAGCTGACCACGGAATCCTTGTGTGGCCAGGGAGACCAGAGACCATGTTGCCTTTGGAAGTGAGAGAAACTCTGAGGAAATCCATGGTAAATCCTTCCATAGTAAACCTCTTCACTGTTCTTTGGCCACAGAAGAAGGATTTGCAACTACACTTGTCTGCGACTTGAGGAAGCAGAGTGTGCTCTCTTATTTCATAGTCTTTGAAATATTACAAAATTTTTCACTTTTTATGTCATGCCAACTAGAAAAAAGGGTTTTTGATGGGAAAACCACTGCCTAAGCCATTGCCAAAAGTGATGCAAATGAACCCTAAATGACTCTGCAGGGTGATTTAAATTTCTTACTGAAGTAAATGGCTATAGACTTTATCCTAGTCATTCTTTTACTAATTAATCCAAAGGAAAGGTTTTCTTTTTCAGTCACAGCTAGGAATATATTGCTTTGAAAACTTATGATGTGTTTTTTAGAATGTCTTCAGTGGTGACCAACTTTTGCCCTTTGAAAGAAAGAGTTTACTTTTTTTTTAAGAATAAAATAAAAAATTATTGGAAACTGGTTTTGGGAAAAAGAGTGAATGATCAAGTTGGGTATTTTTTTATTTTTTAGGTTTTGTTTTCTTTAGAGTCTCACTCTATGGCCCAGGCTGGAGTGCAGTGGTGCAGTCATGGCTCACTGCAGCCTCTATCTTCTGGGCTCAAGTGATCCTCCTATCTCAGCCTCCCAAGTAGCTGTGACTACAGACGCGTGCCACCACATTTGGCTAATTTTAAAAAATTTTTTGTAGAGACAGGTTCTTGCTATATTGCCCAGGCTGTTCTTAAACTCCTGAGCTCAAGCAATCTTCTGCCTTAGCCTTCCAAAGTGCTGGGATTAAAGGCATGAGCCACCGTGCCCAGCCAAGTTGAGTAATTTAAAAAAAAATGAAAACAAGAAAAGATTATAAAATAAAATGGATGACTTTATAGTGCAGCTGGTGTTTTGATTACCAGAGGAAGAGCCCTTGAAATATTTCAAACAATGCAAGCATTATTGGAATGGTCCCTGATGAAAATCTGTTAAAGATAACATTTAGTGGAGTGCAAACATTTTGATATATATCACAATAATACCTCAAGTAAAAAAGATGACATGGAGTAAGATAAATTTACCATGGTTGCACAGGAAAAAAATGTGAGAGTGGAGGCAGTATTCATGACCAAGGTGTTAGGAAAAGCATCATGCAGAGATGGCTCAGATTTTGATCTTAAAGAATGGGTAAGATTTAGATGTGTAGAAAAGAAACTATTTCATCCCATGGACAGAAACAGAAGGAGGGTAATGCAACATATATGTGTGAGATAGAAAGCAGATAAATTTGACTGAAGTAACGTTTTCATATAAAGAAGAAGTAAGCAATAGGGATCACTAAGAATATTGTGGTAAATTTAGATTTGGGTGCTTGGCTAGGGAGCTCTAATTTATATTATGATCAATGGCAAGTCACTGAAGGTTTTTGAGTACAGTGATGGTGTAGGGAAAAGACATTAGGAAAGTTGATCTGGTAGCAGAATGGATTAGAGAGAGGAGTGAACTGGAGAAAGGGAGGCTACGTGTAGATTCTAATGGTGGAAGAGATGTGAAATGAATCTGCCTTGTGATGGCCATCATGTACTGTTGGATGGGAAAACATGATGCAAATGCACATTTCTCATTCCCAAAATGTCAGAACATTCGGCTAAAAGAAAAGATACATGTTGGCATAATGCATCAAGAAATATGCAATATTTCTGTATTTTTTTCTATAATTTATTTATGCAATAGGAAAAAAAGTGGGAAAACATTAATTCTGCTATTAGGCAACCAGAGTAGAGATTCAAAAATATAAACATCTTAGTATGCTACAAATATTCTTTGTAAAAAGCATTAAAATTTTGTTGTATTTGATGATTATAATTATTTTACATATATAAAAAATATATAAATATAAATATATAATATATTTATATAAAAATATATAAATATATATATTATATATATATTTACCAGATACTAAAGATAGTTCCTTAACTATCTTTAACTAGTACTTATTACTAGTTGCAAGGCACCATGCTGAAAGTTGTGAAGGAGAAAAAGGGAATCATAAATAGAAATTACCTTTAGGGAGTTAACGATCTAGAAGTGGGAGTTGAACTACACCTGGATAAGAAGAATGCAAGGGCTAAAGTGCAAAGTTCCTTCTAGAGAAAAAATGCTAAATAGGTTGGAGAGATAATATTTAGCTCTTTAGGGAAGGCTTGCTGGAGAAATGGCACTTAAGCCTGGCCTGGAAAAATATATAAGATTGGCTATGAAGTCCTGGAAAGAGGAAGAATTTTGCTGTGCATTATTCTTTTTTGTTTAGACTGTTTTATGAAAGATGCAAAAATCCTGGAAATATTTTGGCAAATAAAAACACATCTTTCTCTTTTTTTAGCTTGCATAAATGTGCTATTATGTTTTATTACACTGGGAATGATGTTTTAATAAAGACAAAAATTTAGCAAATTTTAAATGCAGTTTGTACCATCAAAAGAAGGAATTGAGTCTTTAAAAATATTTTTTAATGAAATTATATGTCTCCTGAAGTAGTAACAAAGTATAGTGGTTAAAAGCATGAACTCTGGAGACTACTAGGTTCAAATCTTGGCTCAAAATTTTACCAGTTGTATGACTTTGGGTCAATGACAGAACTTTTTTTCTTGCCTCAGTTTCCTTACCTATTAAAAGGGGGTTAGAGAAGTGTTTATTGTTTTGAGATTAATACACACACACACACACACACACACACACACACACTCCACATACAAACGCACACACACATGTAAGGGGCTGGGATTTGATTTCACCTTACTTATAAGCTAAATAAGACCTTTACTATTTCATGGATGTTGGCAAATTAGACCCTTATTGTTTCATGGAAAGCTCCTGACAGAGACAAAGGACTTTGTTGTTGAAGGCACAGCAGGCAGCATGTGCATCAGGTTTGCATCAGTTCCCTTGTCCTCCAAGTTCTAGGGGGATGATTCAGAGGATCCAGATAGCTATTATGCACTTGGTAAATTAGTGTTGCAGTCAAGGGACCCTGAGTTGGGGAATCCACCTCTTTTACAGCAGGCAGTATGCAGGTCTGCTCTTTGTCTCAATGGGAGATATCACCTCATTCCCCAGGGTTACCTACTGCAAATACAACCCTGAGAATTGGTTTGGGTAAAGAGTGCTCAAAACCTTGAATTATTGATATATCTAGGGAGACTTATAATATTATGAGAGACCTATAAATTTAAAGTACTTAGAAACAATGTTGTGCACATTTTAAGTGCTCTCAGTGACACTATTATCATTACTGTTGACTAGTCTACATACTGTGTAATGCAGTGCTTTGAAAGAACAATTATCATGAAATAGTCACATCTAAACTTAATATAATGTTTGGGTATTGCAATATTTATCATATATTTAAGTGAAAAGAATTACAAAGAAATGTATTTTATGTAAATACATTTCTCAGATATATACTTGAACAAATCTGAAATCTTGTTTATAATCAGTAGCACATAACTGCTTTGGTTCCATTAGTCAATTTGACAGACGTTTAAACACTCTGTCAACATTTTATTAATTAAACCTAAGTATAACAATTAGCATGTAAAAAATGGTTCTAATTAATTATTTTTTAATTTTTTCCTTTTAAGACAGGTGCTCGCGCTGACATCCAGGCTAGAGTGTAGGGACATGATGATAGCTCACTGCAGCCTTGATTCTCCCACCTCAGCCTTCTGAGTAGCTGGGAACACAGGCACAGACAACCATACCTGGCTAATTTTTGTATTTTTTGTAGAGACGAGGTTTCACCATGTTGCCCAGGCTGGTCCAAACTCCTGAGCGCAAGCGATCATCCTGCCTTCACCTCCCAAAGTGCTGGGATTACAGGCATAAGCCACCATGCCTGGCTTCTAATTAACCTCATGATGGCTTTCTGTGAGATAGGTAGAGGCTGCTACCACCATTTATGCATGGCAAATTATGTCTTTTTTTTTTTCTTTTGATTACCATGTTGTTTAAGACTTCGGGTTTTTGGGATATTTCACCAATGGTTGTACCTATGTAAAAATGAAAAGTCATCAGAAAAAAGATTTTTTCTGAAGACAAAGGCATATTTCTGACAAATATTTGAAAAAGAAAAGTATTAGGGACCATTTAGGAAGGAGGAAGACAAAGAAAAAAATAGCAAAAGTAGATAATACAGTACTGATAGAGAAAAAGATTTTGAAATGTTGAGTGTTTTGGCCATTAAATCTCAGAAAGAACTAGCATTAGGGAGATTCCTGACAGAAAAGGCAACTCAAAATTAAGAGCTGTGACTAAGAAAACCTTTTTTTAATAAATTTGATTTTATTGTAGGGGATTTTGAGAGAAAAGGGAAAGACTGCACAAACTTTCATGAAAAATGATAATATGAGAAACAAATATAAATTCTGGTTAGGATTTCATCTCAGAAAAAAAGATTGAGGAATGGGCTGAGGGAATGAATACGGCAGATCAGAAGAGACTGTTTGACCACAGGTGTAACTTAAGCTGCCTCAGCTACATTTTGCCTCTGGTCTGCTCTGGGTTTCAGCTCTTTCCAGTAGTTAAATTCAAGTAGTTTCTATGTGGTCTGTACCACACATTTAAAACTGACTCATCATTAATAACACTCTTTGGAAGCCTTGTCCTGGAACTCCAAATTCCAAGAAATGTGCCCAGATTCAAAGTTTAAGTCTTAATGGCTGAGCTATGGGAGATACTGTCTGTGAATGTAATAGCAGCAGAGATTTTTTTTTTAAGAGAGCTGTGAATAAAGATTCCATTATGTAACTGAATAAAAACTGCTTTTTTTTTTTTTTTTTTTTTAGACGGAGTCTTGCTCTGTCGCCCAGGCTGGAGTGCAGTGGCGCAATCTTGGCTCACTGCAAGCTCCGCCTCCCGGGTTCACGCCATTCTCCTGCCTCAGCTTCCTGAGTAGCTGGGACTACAGGCACCCGCCACCACGCCCAGCTAATTTTTTGTACTTTTAGTAGAGACGGGGTTTCACCGTGGTCTCTATCTCCTGACCTCGTGATCCGCCTGCCTCGGCCTCCCAAAGTGCTGGGGATTACAGGCTTGAGCCACCGCGCCCGGCCCTTTTTTTTTTTTTTTTTATCAACTCTTAGAATGTATGATAAACTATAGAACTGTGTAACATGTCTACCAAATTTGAGTTTTAGTAGCATAGTAGGGTGACTATAGTTAACAACAATATATTGAATATTTCAAAATAGCTAAAAGAGAAGATTTTAAAATATTCCCAACACAAAGAAATGATGAACATTCCAGGTGATATCCTAAATACCCTGATTTGATCATTACACATTGTACTCATTTATCAAAGTATTGCATATACCCCCAAAAGATGTACAATTATTATGTACCAATAAAGATTTTTTAAGCAAAAATAAACAAGCAGAACGACAAGGACCTAAACAGACATTTCTCTTAAAAAGACATAAAAATGACCACTAGGTATATGAAAATGTACTCAACATCAGTAATCATCAGAGAAATGCAAATCAAAACCACAATGAGATAACGCCTCACACCTGTTAGAATGGTTATTATAAAAAAGACAATGGATAACAATTGTTGGCAAGGGTGTGGATAAATAGGAATCCTTGCACACTGTTGGTAGGACTGTAAATTAGTACGGACATTATGGAAAACAGTATGGAGGTTACTCAAAAAATTAGAAATAGAACTACCGAATGACCCAGTAATCCCCCTCTTCTGGGTATATACCCAAGGGAAATGAAATCAGCCCCCCACAGAGATATCTTCACTACCACCCTGCTCACTGCAATATTATTCACAATAGCCAAGACATGAAAGCAACCTAAGTGTCCATTGATGGCTGACTGGATAAAGAAAATGTGGTATAGACCAAACATTCTTAAAATTAAAATATATCATATATTTCACATACATAACATAATGGAATAATATAGTGTTATATAATATTATATATTTATAATAGCATCAATACTCTAATATATTATTATATTCTATTATAGAATAAAAATGATCTATATATTATATACATAAATATAATGGAATCTTATTTGGCCTTAAGAAAGAAGGAAATCCTGTCATTCGTGACAACATGAATGAACATGGAGGACATTATGCTAAGTGAAATTAGCCCCAGAAACAGAAGAAAATATACTGAGTGATCTCACTGATATCTGGAATCTGAAAAAAAAAAAAAAGGTGAAGTACATAGAAACAGAGAATAGAAAGGTGGTTACTAGGGGAAGGAGAAGGAGAAGGAGGAGGAAATGGAAAGAAATAGATTAAAGGGTACAAAGTTGCAGTTACGTAGTGGAATGAATAAGTCTAGAGATCCAATGTACAACATGAGGAATACAGTTAATAATATTGTATTGTATTGTATATTAGAAATTTACTGAGAGTAGATTTTAGGTGCTCTTACCACACACACACACAAAAGAGGGTAGCTATTTGAGATGATGGGTGTGTTAATTTTCTTGACTGTTGTTACCATTTCACTATGTACAAATGTATTAAAAAATCACATATACCTTAAATATATGTAATTTTTGAAAAGACAAAAACCAAAAAGCCAAATGTGGTCATATGAATGGTTCAATGGGCTTTGCTGAGCCATGGGTGACAATTAGATTGCTACTGTCACTATTGTAAATTTTTAAAAACAGTAACATAAAGCAATAGACAAAACAATGTTTTCATGGGAGCAGGCATATCACTGAATGCCCATTTACTAGATGCCTAGGAGACCCTGTGTGAGATGCTTCCTATAAAGTTTGTTTATAATTAGATGCGTCAGACATAATGTATTTTTAAATGTTTATTTGCATGCTTGACAAAGGATAAACAAAACAAAAGGCAAAATGACAAACCAAAAATGCTTTCCATATAAGGAAGTCCATTCTAGTGAATTCAAAACAAAGATATTATGGTGTTTATGTGTGTGTGTGTGTGTGTATTGTGTATGTGTTTTCTATGCATGTTCTTATGCGCTTTGGCCTTGCTACAATTGCCTATGTGTATCTTGTGTATCTACATCTTCCCTGACACCAGCGTCTTAGAGACGCCTTCTTTCTATTCCCAATCCCTAAGGTATCTTGTAATGCACTCCTTCCTTAGGTCCCAGTTACCTAGACCAGCATTGAACAATGGGCCCAATTTATGCTGGTCAGGTTTTCTCTCCCTCACCAGAACTGAAATTAGGTCACTGAGAAATGGGCACTAAGATGATGGGTGAGCATGTAAACTAAATGGATGTTATTAGGTGTCATATTGAGCCAAAGCTATGATATGCTAGCCAAAGTCGTGGTGGGAGTTTGAAATCGCAAGCAAGGTTTGAGACCTCACAGAAAGGTAAATGGTATGGCGAGCTGCCACTAACTGAATGGTGGAGATGGGCCTTCCACACTCTGCCAGTAGTTCCTATGAGACTCCAGGCAAGTTGTGTAACTTCTCTGAGTTTCCGGGGTTTTTTTTTTTCAGTAAATAAATAGATTGAAGCTGGCAGTTTCCACAGTTCCTTTATGATGTTAATTCTATCCTCCAAACACACGATTGTCTCAGATATAAACTACTTCAGAATAGTGAAGTAGTACCAAATGAACCATTGACCTCACTCTACAAGTGTTCGACAGTATTTCAGAGCATGCATCTTTAGGCACTGTGTAGGTGTTGTGGACACAGTGAGGAAATGGACACAGATTCTACTTCACGGGTCTTATGAATAACACACATTGATTAAATAATCACCCAAATGTCTAATCATGAACTTTGGTTAGTGCTACGAAGGACAAATATAGAGAGCTAGAACAGCACTAAAAAGGGGCTTGGTTGCTCTGGGATGAGATCAGAGCCAGCTTTTCTGAGGAAGCCCAGAGAGCTGGAGGATAAGTAAATAAAGATGAGGAAGAAGAACATCCCTGGCATAAGGCCTGGTTTTGGCAAAAGCCATAGAATTACCTAACAGTCATCATCAAAAATACACTCACATAGAAACTTTAATGGTGTGCTCTTTTATTTTAGGTTGGCACATAGAAACCCATAAATGAAGGGAAATACCCTGGCATGCTCCAGTCCTAAAAACTACACAACACAGGCTGCTTGAGGTGGCCCACGCCTGTAATCCCAGCACTTTGGGAGGCTGAGGCGGGTGGATCACCTGAGGTCAGGAGTTCAAGACCAGCCTGGCCAATATGGTGAAACCTCGTCTCTACTAAAAGTACAAAAATTAGCCAGGTGTGGTGGCAGGCACCTGTAATCCCAGCTACTCAGGAGGCTGAGGCAGAAGAATCCCTTGAACCCGGGAGGCGGAGGTTGCAGTGAGCCGAGGTCGCACCACTGCCCTCCAGCCTGGGTGACAGGAGCAAGACTCTGTCTAAAAAAAAAAAAAACACAACAACAACCCTACACAACACAGAGTTGTTTAGTTTGTGGAGGCACAAATTGAAATATTTTGGTGGAAAATTCTTCCTGGAACCCATGGAGAGAGCAATAGCAATAACAGAAATGTTACCTGCACAAATGAGTACTGGTGTGTGTGTGTGTGTGTGTGTGTGTGTGTGTGTGTGTGTGAATACTTCAGTACTTGAAAAATATTCATTTTTTTGCTTCTTCCCCCCACCGCCATCCCCTATTCCTGCCCTGGGTTTGTAGTGGATTGTATACCAGTGTTGGGATACTTAAGCCAACTTTTCCTGCAAATATTGTATGTACATCTGTATGAGCAAATTCTCATCAAGAAGAGCTGGCCTTTGGGCAATGTTTGTGAGCAAGTTTTAGCCTTTAGCTATAATTGTGCTTCCAAAAGTCTAAGCATCTCAGACAAAAGAGAAAACTCTTGATTGTTTGAATATGATTGAAATATGGTAGTACTGAAATGTTTGCTTAATTATTTGACCCCCAAATGCAGTCATCTGTGAGTATCCATGGGGGATTGGTTCCAGAACCCTCTGAGGATACCAAAATCCATGGATACTCAAGGCTGTTATATAGAATGGTATAACATTTGCATATAATCTATGTACATCATCCCATGTACTTTAAATAACCTCTAGATAGTTTACAATACCTAATACAAGGTAAATGCTATGTAAATTGTTGTTACACAGTATTTAGGGAATAATGACAAGGGAAAAATATGTGTACATTCAGTATAGACACAACCATCTATTTTTTTTAAAATATTTTTGATCTTCAGTTGGTTGAATCCACGAATGTGGAACCCACAGATACGGAGTGCCAACTGTACAAGTTTGGGACATTGTTAATACCATAGGTATCTAGTGAGTGGGTGATGGGCTCATTTGTATTTAACATCAAAGCTGCCATTTAATTGAAAAAGTTTAGCTTAACAATAAGTGAGTTCCTACTGTGTTCCAGGCATATTCTAGGGGCCAGGGAAAGAGGAACTAGATACAAGAAAGGCAACAGACTTCCAATGGTAGTAAATATAATCAAATGTTATCCATTCAAGAATAGAAGTGCTGAGAGAAGTGGTGAAATGGTGATTCCATGTGGATAGGGTGTGTGGAGAAGCAGCCAGGCTTCTCAGAAGGGATGAGTGCTGAGCAGTTTGCTGGCTGGCTGGGAGCCGTCGAGTGGAAAAGGAAGGGAAGGGCTCCAGGAAAGGGCAGCAGCAGCTATAAGGGGGTAAAACAGCTTGTGGTGTGTCAAGAAGTTGTTCAGAGTTGTTAGAGCAAAAAGTGCCTGTGCGTCTGGGGTGGGCGGGGCTGAGGGTTGGAGAGGAGGGAAAGGAGGCTGAGGATAGGCCAGCACCACACTAGGAGGAACTGGCCTGCGGGTTAAGGAGCCTAGCTTTTATTCTCTAGTCTAAGCAATAAAAATTTTTTGCAGGAAACCTTAAGCAGGGGAGTGACTGGTAACATTAGAGCTTAGCAATATCTTTGAGGCAGAATGGATTTGGTTGTCAAGATAACAGAGGCAAGAAGGTGGGGAGGATACTGGTCTTGAAATCAGGGGTGGAAAATTACAGCCCATGGGCCACATTTGACTTTATTGCGTCTTTTTTGTGGACCCAGAAGATAAAAGCTTTTACAAATTTTCAATGGACTTAATGATAGGAAAATCGAACTTTAAACACTAATTAAGCAAAATATTCCTTCTGACAAAATAATTCTTCTTGTTAGTAGACATTTTTTTCTCAATTATTATTGCATTTTAAATTTTGTCAATTAAAGAATGTGGATATTTGTATTTTTTTTAAATATAAACACATAGATAATAAGTTTGATTTTGCCTCATGGCCCTCAAAGCCTAAAATAGTTACTACCTGACTCTTTACAGAATAAGCTGGCCCACCTCTGGTCTAAATGAAAGATGATTAGGACAGCATGGGAAAGTTGGAAACAGATCAAATAGAACCATCCAAGTATGAGTGGCTGTCCAAGGATATTAATGGGCTGGATATGTATTGATTGGTTTGGAGAATGCAGGAGTGTAATAAATGTGTTTTTGCTATGTGGACAAAGTAGTAAGTTGTCTGTATCATTTTCAGTTAATTGTAGTATCATGAAGTTGTAACTTAAGATCAATAACATTAATGCATTGTAAATGCATTTTTGTTTTCTATTTTTATCAGGTTTAAAGTTTTAAAGTTCATTCATATTGGCATTTTTTACTCATTTTCAGGTAGCTAAAACACAATTTCTTACTCTTTCATTTTAAAATGTTATTTTTAAGAAGATAAGTAATAGTGCAGATGGTTTGAAAAAAATCTCAACAGTATAAAAAGATACACAGTAAAAAGTGAATTTCCATTTCACTTTGGTCTCCTAGTCCTGCTTACCAATTCTCTCCAGAGGCAAATTATTTTGCCAGTTTCTTATACTTCATGTCTACACGTATTATTTTTGTAATTCACAAAGTAATGTACTCTGCAAACTATACTGTATATTCCCTTAGTCAATTAATATGATTTGCAGTTACTTTCATATCACTTTCTATAGCTTTTTCTTATTCTTATTAAAAGCTGTGGAGTAGTCCAATGCATGGCTGCTGCAAAAAATAACAGTATACCTACATTTTTATGCATTTGTTATAGGATTTCTTCAAGAAAAATTTCTAGAAGTAAAATTTCAGTGCAGGGCATTTGTGTATTTTAACTTTGAAAATATTGTCGAATTGACCTCCAAAATTTAAATCAATTTATAACATCACCAATTATGTATTATAGTGTATATTTTCTTACCTTTTTGTCAAAATGATATAATAGTCAACTTTCAAATCTTTGCAAGACTGATAGATGAAAAAATAAGGCATTTTCTTGTAGTCTTAATAAGTGCATTTCTCTTATTGCCTGAAGTTGGACATTGTTTCATATGTTTAAAGGTCATTTCCTTTTCTTTGAATTGTCTGTTCATGTTCTTGGCTCATTCTTCTTTTGGGTTAAGATTCTGTTTTAAAAATAAAACAATTCTTGAAAGTATTATGTCAAGGAAAGAAATCTTATTCAAGTCAAACTTTGTAGACAGGAAAAAAAAAAAAAGAAACAAACTGGTGTTGATCAAAGGTTTTGATGACTTTACCAGAAACAAGAATTTTCCCCACTTAGCTTCCTTTGATACCATATCCTGAGAGATTCACACAAGTCTATGTGATCTATAATTAATATTTTGGTGACACATCTTCCCTATTGAATAATCAATTACTGGCTCAAACTCTAAATTAAAAACTTTGGAAGTTCAGATCCAGGGTAGAGGGAAAAATAAAATAAAATCTCTTTTACACGACAGTGCTAGTCCGAAAATGATTAGAATAATAGCAAAAACAGAAAGAAAACTAGCAAATTTTAATTCATGCAGAACAATTGAAAATTATGCAAAAATATACATTTGAAACAAAAATGGAATTTGGAATTAAAAATAAAGTACACACGCACACACACATGCTTATTTGAGTAAATTTTAAAGTCAAGTCTCATACTGCCTTGGAAAAACACACTTAACAAATAAGAAACTCTTGCTTTGGCTCAAAGAACATGTTTTAAATGAGACATATGCTTGATGACTAGACTGCTTTACTTGGGGCCTGTGTTCTTTGCCTATGCATAAAGTTTCATGAGGTTTAAAACATAGGCTAAAATCCAAAGTAAAGTTCCTCAGAGGTGTGAGTCTGAGCTCAGCACCTTTGTGATTCTTTCTGTCAATAAGTTGTTGAAAAATTACAAAGATCTACACATGCACTTTGGTAAATACAACTGGTAATAGACACCCCAGGAACATGAGGGCATTAAACGAAATGAACTCTAAAATTCTGTGCTTATATGAGTAGGACCGTTAAGAGAAGCTCAATCCAAGCTCTGACATGTCTCCATGGGGCAGTTAGTGACAACCTTCAGAATCTTGTCTTTCCTGTATAGAAAAGGCTACCAAATGTCCTCACAAGTATGCTTTTTGGGAAATCTGAGATGTCAAACAGATGTCATCACTTAAGAAGCATTGCTATCAATCAAGTTAGCATCTTAAGATTTTTTTTTTTTGCTTTTATCAGTGTTATTTAACTAGCAGCTCTTAAAAGGAAAACAAAGCTGGAAGCAGCCTAGAGGAATATTTACTGTGATAGTCTCTGCTAAGGAAAGCCTTTGTTGTGGATTCAAGAATCTGAGACATAAAGGGATTCTAAGACTAGAACTGGTTATTTTGGTTTTCTTCATAATAGAGCATTCGATATCATTACATATGGAGAATTTATTGAATTGGATAATCCTTTATGCATTTAAAAATATATATATCTTTTCAGCTTTTAATAGTTTGTACTTTCATGCTCACGCAAAATTTGGCCTCAACCCACTATTTGATTTCCTGTGCTCAATCTTTATATTCTGAATCTAAGAAGCTAAACTTTTCCTTGGCAAATTATTATTCCAAGTGGCCCAATGCTACATGTGTGGCCTTCAAAACACTTTCTGGGTCAGCTTAGACAATAGTGACATGGTAATTTTTAAATTTTCAGTAAGAGATTGGTTTTGATTGGCTTATCACATTTGTAAAAATGGTTTATCATATTTACACTACAATTTCATTTTTTGATCTCCTTTCTCTCCTTTCCACCTCTCACCATCTACTTTGTCCCTCATCATCGGCTGATCAGCTGCCTGACCACTGAGACTCCTTAGCCCAAGGAGTTCCCTGCCACCCTCCTGCAGATGTCTTGCCCTCTCCATGCACCTTCATACTTCATTTTCCCATCTTTGCTCTTTTAAGTGGCCAGGAACCTTTCTGAACATTATTGGGACAAGATGACAAGATAACTGAAGGGAATAGGTTCATGATTATCCAGTTGAGAAGAGATTTTCTTAAAGGTGTTTATATTGTTTGGAGTTTTTCTTTTCGTATTTTCTGGAGTGACTAAACTGTTCTTAGGTGCTCAGGTAAAGCGGTTGAAGGACAAATCTTGTATCAAAGCAAAACTCACTTGTCTTGTTTTCTGTTGTTCTATTTTCTTCCCTGCAATTATTTCATATCTTTTTTAAAACAAAAATCAAATCTAGTCAATCCTGTGCTTTAAACCTTCCTCTGGTTCTTGCTCTTATTGTAAGAAAAAGCTTGAATTTGCTTAACAGGGCTTTCAGGTTGTCTGTGATCTGGTATTTCTCCTTACCATTTACTTACTCTTCTCACCAGTCCTAAGGAGGAGTGAAGGCCTTTCTGAAAACAGAAGGCCTCACTGTGGAACTCAGTTCTTTCTGTTCTGTAGGCCTGATCTTAAGCAAGTGACTCAACCTTTCTGTGCCTCAATGTTTTCATCTGCTCTTTGGAATAATAACCGAACCTATTCATGGGGTGGTTGTGAGGATTAGATGAGAAAACATATGAAAAGATCTTAGAACAAGTCTGACATACAAGAAGTGCTAAGAAAGTGTTTGCTGTTGTAAATTTTATTTCAGTTCTTCTAAGAGGCTAGCTCCTTTTCCTCCAGGTCTTTCTACCAGCTCTTCTTTCTTTCTAGAACTTTCTCCCTTTATCACCATTATCTGTATAATTTTAATACCTTCTTTGTATTAGGGATCTCAAGAGAAGCTGAACCAATCAGACGTATATATAGATAAACAGATCTATTATAAGAAATTGGCTCATACAATTATGGGGATAGGCAAGTTCCAAGATCTACAGTGTGAGTTGGCAAAGCTGTAGACCAAGGAGAGCTGATGGTTACTTTCAATCTAAGTCTGAAGGCCTGGGAGCCAGGAGAGCTCATGATGTGGTTCTCATTCAATGGCTGATAGGTTTGAGACCTAGAAAGAACTGATGTTTCAGTTCAAGCCTGATGGCAGGAAAGAAGCTGATGTCCCAGTTCAAAAACAGTCAGGCAGAAAAAATACTTTCCTCCTGGGGGATGGTCAGCCTTGCCTTTGTTCCGAGACTGTCCTTTTTTCCTGGCCTGCGAGCTCTCTGAGCACAAGGATGTGTTTATCTTATTTTCCACTGTATATTTAATATCTAGTACAGTGCCTGGCACATGATAGGCATTCAATAAATATTTGTTACATAATTAGTCAACTAATTGAAAATTATAAACCTTTTCCATTTCTGATAATGTAGATATTCAAAAATATCCAAAATACTATATAGAATACTTTAAAGTATAGTAAGTAAACTATCTAAACACAAAGATGATTCTAATTATATTTATGAGAACTATTTAATAGTAATCACAGATTCTGAGTCTGATACTAAATCTGTCTTGGTGATAAGCATCTGGCAGAATGTGCTGATGTTTATTGGCAGAAAGCATTATGCATTTTAAATTCAATCTAGTATTTATATCCTATGGTAAAATGAACATAAATAAGCTAATTTTAGTTTACCTTGGCAAATACGTGATTCATTCAATATATTTACATATGTAAATCAACTAGGAAGTTTAAGACAGTTTAAAAATAAGCATCATAATATAATCTTAAACTTGATAAGCCTTTCTACCTTCAGCAAGAATCCTTTCTTTAATAATTCTTGAAAGATTGTATTTGTATCATCTTTCCCCCAGTACATGTTGGGAGATATATTAGGATTATATATATATTTGTACCAATATAACACACACACACACACACACACACACACACACACATATATATATATAGTTTAAAAATATCTATATATATTTTTACTGTCCTCAAAACCTTCCAGCTGCCAAAGGCTTGTTTGGTAAGCTTTGATTTTATGCTCCTCTTGGCTTTAGACTTTAAAAATATGGACAATTCTTGTTATTTGCAGTAGTTATATTCTATAAAGTCACTGTGAGCATTTAATTAGTGAATACTGAACCAGCACTCCTAGCAGAAAAACAGGATCAGGTTCCTGCATGTCTTTGATTATAATATTTTTGTCATACAATCAATACATAACTTTGTTTTATGTGTGTTTCTGTTTGAAGACAACTTCTTGAATATACATTGTTGATTCATTAACATTAAACTCATGGCTAACAGTGTGGCAACTCATGCCTAATTCATCTAACACATGTATTTTCTCAATAAAACACATCATATCTTTCTGCACTTAGTAATACTAGACAGCATTCAGCCTACGCTTAGGGGCCATTTAAAAGGGCAAAATCACCAACAGAGAGTTTAAACAAGAAGGAAGAGTGTTACTTTATTTGACCTCAGTTGGGAATGTATGTGTCAAGCAACTCAAATTTTTTTCAGCTCATCACATGCATGTGAATGACCACAAAATCTCTGTATTGCTATGGTGGTTACAAATAAATTTAATGTGTAGGCAAATTTGCAAATATAGAATCTGTGGGGATCAATTGTACCCATATCTGTGGATGTTTCTTAAGGAGTTTTAGAAGGGATTTTTAATCAATATTACAAAGTTAGCCTTACAGTCAGCTGTTACAGCAAATAGTTTCCACACACTGTTATATATGATATATATATGCAGGTATGTCGGGCTTGTTAAAATTCCCCTTTACTGTGAAACTGAATTCTGCTTTTCTTCTTCAGTACTGGGGATAGGTGTAGACTATGGCTACGAAAATTCTAGTGCGATTAATTTAAACATTCTGATGAAAAAGCTATCACACATTATTCTAAATTTGATTTTCAAAAACTTAAGTCATTTTCCTTATTTTCTATTTTAAAGATGAAAAACACTAAGGGTTAGACAGGCTAGGTGACTTGATCAAGGCCATTCTTCTAGCGAAGACAATTCCAGGACAAAGCTAGGTTTTTCCATAGTCTATTCTATGCTCATTTTCTTCACCTTGCCACTCTGTGGACAGATAACCAGCTTATTCCAAGTCAAAGCAGTGGCCCCAATCTCAGTAGCTTTCTATTGTAGTGGTTTCCAAAGCTTAGACTATATCAGAATCAACTGGAGGGCTGTTTAAAATACAGATTTTTGGGCCTCACCCCCAGAGTTTCTGATTCTGTAGATCTCAGCTGGAGCTTCAGGACTTGTTTCTATAAGTTCCCAGGTGATAGTGATGCTGCTGGTCCAGAGACCACTATTGGGAATCACTATTCTATCTGAACCAATTTCACTGGGTGACATTTCCCAGTGAGGCTGGTGGAAGAAGAGAGGGTGGGCTCCTTATTCTGCTGTGTTGTCACTAAGTTCTGCCACCTGTCTAAACATGCACGTGCAAACGCTTTCTCTATGATTGCATATTTGATTCATTGAGCTTTGAGATATTTATTTAATTCCTTTAAATCACCTGAGAGTAATTTTAAAAATTAATGTTTCTGGAATGTAGCTTTCAATATGGGACTGGCCAGGAACTCCTAATTAATGAAGCTATTAATCTCATGATATAATATAGGTCAAAGACAAACCGGTAAGCTTTTCGTTATGCAAATTTCAGAAGTTTAATTGTCTTACTAAGTGAGGGTAAGATCATTGTTTAGGATTGTACATGACCCACTTCTGAGAATGTCTCTCCAGAACTCTCCCCAATGGTAACATAAGCCTGTACCCATATTTCTACAACATGACTTTGCTCCCTGCTCATTTTTGGGAGGAGAATGAGTGGACACCTGACCAAAGGGCTGATCAGGTCCCTGCTCCCAAAACTTTGAAATGGAGACAGAGGTATTTGTTGGATTCATTAGTTTCAGAAACTGACATTTATTTGCAGGAGCAGGGGTGCCAGTCATTTACCTTTAGGTGCAAGGTAAAGCTGAGAAAGTAGCATGGAGATAGACACACACACATACACACAGACGAACTGGGCCCCCAGTGCTTTTCCAATTGCTGGTTCCAATTCCTAATGCCTCCTGACTGGAGATCTGCAAGATACTACTGATACTTTTTAAGTTTCTCTCTGTGATTTTTTGCTAGGTTGAATGGGTTTTTCTTTTTGTACTCTAAAAGCACCTTGACTAAGACAGTTTGTTAAACACGTACTCTTACTGACTTTATAGCACCACTTTTCCACAGGGACAGTATTGTAATTGTCAATGGATGGAGAATTTGTAGTGCCATCTCTTCTGGGAACTAGTTTACTGGACCTCAGGCACACTACTTCCCTGTCTCAAATCTCTCATCTCTAAATAGAGGAGAGTTGGATTAGATTATTTGTGAAGAGCCCTTTCAACTCTAATATTCTTGAGCTTAAAGAGAACAAAGTTAATGGAGTTTGTCTGTTCTTGGGGTGGAATCGTAAATGAAAGCTTTATAATCTTAGAGGCTGAGTATTGGCAGAGGCAGCAGTAATCAAGTGAGGGATACTAAGGAGAGACTGAATTAAGGAAAGAGTCAAGGCTACTTGAACATTATCCCTAAAAATAGGGAAAACTTCTGGATAATTCCAAATTTATTCTTTGCTAAACCTCTGTGCATTTTAGCACGAGGTACATATTAGAATCACCTGGGGATAAAAAAAGTATAAAATTTTAAAAAAAAACCACTAATAACAACTAGTGCCCTGTCCACACCTTGGGCGTTTAAATGATAAATTCTAGGGGCTGAAGAAGGGCAGACATAGGTAGATTATAAAACTCTCCAGGGGATTACAATTTTAGGTAAAATTGGGAATCACTATTTGTGTTTGTTTTAAAAAGTATGTAATTAACTTTAAAAGCTCACAGCTTAATAAAAGCATGATTAAGAAGTGGGAACATGGGCCAGGCGCGGTGGCTCATGCCTGTAATCCCAGCACTTTGGGAGGCTGAGGCGGGCGGATCACGAGGTCAGGAGATAGAGACCATCCTGGCTAATACGGTGAAACCCCGTCTCTACTAAAAATACAAAAAATTAGCCGGGTGTGGTGGCAGGCGCCTGTAGTCCCAGCTACTCAGGAGGCTGAGGCAGGAGAATGGAGTGAACCTGGGAGGCAGATCTTGCAGTGAGCTGAGATTGCGCCACTGCACTCCAGCCTGGGCGACAGAGTGAGACTCCATCTCGGAAAAAAAAAAAAAAAAAAAAAAAAAGAAATGGGAACATGCTAGTAAAAGTAGAGTTCCTATAGACATAAAAAAGAAAACTTAAAACATAAAAAAGAGAAAAAAGTTGAGAACTATAAATGTCCTGTGGTCTGAAGACTTTTATAATAGTGGTCTATGTTTTAAAATTTCTTAAAAATACCAGGGTAATATAAGATAATGAAATATTTGACTCTCAAAAATCCTGGAGTTACCAAGATAATGTGAAATATGCTTTAGCATATCCTTTTGAAGAATGTAAGTAAATTAGCATATCTGTAAAAAGGTTTCTATTAAAAATGGTTTGAATAAAAAAGAGAAAGCCTCTGTGTCTAAGGTAAGGCTTCTCTATGCTAAAATTCAGTAATGAAATAGTCTTAATCTCAATGTGTCAGCAAAGCGGTTTGCATGGAGCTGAGCATGGTTTTGCATGGAACTGAGTTTGCATAAAACTGAGATAATGTAGGACATCTTAAGGACTCACAAAAAAGGACTCAATTTTAGCCTTTGGACGTTCAGGTTTCATTGGAAGAGACCAATGACCTAAGAGCAAATGTTGTTGTCCATAGTTTATGCTTTTCTTCATTCTCATGATTCAGCTTCTCTCTGGTTTCTTCATATCTTTCCACCACTTACTCTCTTTCACTTTTGGTATCCCCTTTACTTAATAGATTCTCCATATTGTTTCTCGGATGCTTAACACTTCTTTGTTTGTTTGTCTATTGACCTAAAGGTCCTTCAGTCCTTCTTTTATTGACCTACTATATTTTGGACATTAGGGGCACAGCAGTGAATAAGGAGAATATTTCCCTTCTCTCATATAATTGACATTTTTGTCAAAGAAAAAGACAATATGAAAATGATAAGTAAATAAGGTGATTATAGAATATGATACACACTAAGGGACACTAAAAGGTGGATATAATGGAGAAAGAAAATGGTGAGTTTCTTTAGATCACTGATTCAAAATTTGGCTGCAATTACAACCACCTGTAGAGGGTTTTGTTTTGTTCTGATTTAATACTGATGCCAGAGTCCTAGTCTGAATTACTTCTCAGGGTTGGGAAGTAATCAAGTCAGCTGAAGTTTTTATTAGCTTCCTAGGACATTCTGATAAACAGTGAAGACTGAGAACGACTGCTTTAGAGGAAAACCTCTTGAAGAAGATATTTGAGCTGAGTTCTGAAGGTAAAATAAGCCAGCCATGTAATACATGGGGGAAAGGGGAGGAGATGTTTCCAGAGATAGGAAACAGCAATAGCAAAGGACCTGAGGTGGAAGAGAATTTGACATGCATGAGGAACAGGAAGGAGGTCAGCATATCTGGGGCACAATGAGTGAGGTTGGAGAATGGAGATGCAAAGAGGCAGGCAGAAAGTAGCTTATGCTAGAGTTGGAATTTTAGTTTATAAGGAATGAGAAATCATTGAAGAATTTTAATCAGGTAAGTTACCCGATCTTCTGTACTTTTAAAAAGAACACTCTGAGAAGCCGGATGGTTCCCTTTGTAAGTGATCTGACCTTTTTCTCTAGCTGCCTTTTGACTTAGCATTCCCATTACTCAGTATATACCCAAAGGAAAGCCAATTGTTCCACAAAAAAAAAACACATGCACTCATATGCTCAGCACAGCACTATTCACAATAGCAAAGAAATCAATCTAGATGCCTATCAACAGTGTACGGATAAAGAAAATGTGGTACATATACACCATTAAATACTGTGCGGCAATAAAGAGACTGAAATCATGTTCTTTGCAGCAACATGAATGCAGCTGGAGGCAATTACCCTAAGTGAATTAATGCAGAAACAGAAAACCAAATACCACATGTTCTCACTTATAAGTGGGAGCAAAACATTGGATATACATGTACACAAAGATGGAAACAGTAGATGCTGGGGACTGCTGGTGGGGAGAGAGAGAGGGAGCAGGAGCTGATAACTGTCTATTGGGTACTATGCTCATTACCTGGGTAATGGAATCAATCATATCCCAAAACTCAGCATCATGCAGTACACCCATGTAACAAATCTCTACATGTACCCCCTTGAATCTAAAATAAAAATTGAAATGACTTTAAAAAATCTTTTAAAATAAAAGAACACTCTGGCTGCTATAAGGAAAGTGGATTTTGACAGGGCAACAGTGGTGATGGAGAGACTGGGTAAGTAGGCTATGGTCTCAGTCCAATAGAGAGATGATGGTAGTTTGGATAGGATGGTGGCAGTTGGGTGGAAGGAGAGCATTGGTAAAGGAAATATTGTGAAAGAGGAACTGATAGGACTTGCTACATATCTGATATCTAACTTCCTAAGAAAGAGAATCAGAGTAGTGAATCTGTCATTCAAATATTGATAGAACATTTCCTATTCCCAATACAGAGCATGATGCCATCTTATAGGCCACCGGTTTTCCTTGTGTCTAGTCAATAAATGAGTACTCTAGGATCTGGAGCTCAAATGAGTCATGGATCAAGCTGTAGCTCACATGGGACAAAGCAAATTAATTGATACAAAATGAAAAACTTTATATGGAGGCAGTTTATAGGTGTGATAGCTAGTCAGACTTTCTTAGATTCTTTTTTAATGATCATTTTTGTAATAACAATTGTTTTATTAAATGACAGAACTCAGATGAAGGTGTGTGCAAATAAGTTTTAATTACATTCAGATAAAACATGCATATTTCTAAGGAGGCCAAGTGTCTTTGTCCATTTCCTGCTGATGCAATGAAATGCTACAGACTGGGTAATTTATAAATAGTAGAAATTTATTTGGCATATGGTTCTGGAGGCTGGGAAGTTCAAAAGCATGGCACCAGCATCTGCTGAGGGTCAGTCTATGGCAGAAGGCATTACATGGAGAGTGAGCATGTGAGACACAGAGAAAATGGGAGCAAACTTATCCTTGTATAGGACCCACTCCTGAGATAACTAATCTACTCTCTAGATAATGGCATTAATAATAATCACCTCATAAAGGTCCCACCACTTAATACCATCACAAGGACAATTAAACTTCAGCATGCATTTTAGAGGATACATTCAAACCATAGCACCAAGGTTTAGTTGACTGGGTATATGTTTGACAGGCCTTAGGCTGTCCAGCTAATCTATAACTTTGTAAAGTGCACATAGTAGGTTGGTTCAAAAGGAAGAAGAAAATATTAAATGATTGTTGTTGGATTGTTATAAATCAAGTTGGGAAGAAACAACTGAGAATACACATTTTCTAATTTAGCTTGTCATATGCAAAAATTCACATATGTTCAAAGAAACCTTACAAATGATAATATCCCACCTTATAAATGATATCCCTATAAAATAACACCTGGAAAACATATTTTAATGTTTTCACTGAAAACTCACCAAATGTTTATTTTCAGTTTCCAAATCTTAAAGTACTAATCTATGGCCATTTATTATTTGTACAATTTGAATGTGAAGGCCAGCTACTTTTGCCTGAGGCCACATGGGCAGTGCATACAGTTGTGAGTGTGCAGAGATTCAGTATCTTGATTCATTGACCTATGAAGTAAGAAATCCTTGATTTTCTTTCTGTAAGTAGAGGCAAAGGGGAGAAAGAGAAAACACGAGAGCCAGAACAAAAATAATGTCTTTCGGAATTTCTTTTTCCCCATGGATTTCTAAATTCTCTGAAATGGATATCTTCCATGTGTTCTTAAAAAAGGATTTTTGTTAGCCAGAGAAACTTTCCATCAGCTTTCTTGCTTGCCAGCATTATTAAGACCTCCTGACATGATGTGTGTTAGCCCAATAAAAACAAACTCTACTTCTAAAAGTTTAGCTGTATGTAGAAAAGCAGCTTAAATCATATATTTATTTTGCTGCTTGTATTTTAACCTGACTTCTTTCCTTCCGTTTTCAAGAATTATTAAGATTTATTACTTGGAAACTATACTAAGCACTGAACTAAAAAAGAAATATTAACAAGTTGACCAAGAACTATGTACGAATTTCCTTCTAGGTTGAGCCACTGACTCACCTTCAGTCTTAAGTCATTTTGCCAATAAATAGGAAAATCAATTACATGTGGAAAGTTGTAGAGCTCAGATAATTTGACCAGCAATAGAGAAGCCAACAAAATGGATAATAGGACTATTTCCTTTCTCTTTGGTCTTCCCCTTTCCCTGTCCCCAAATGAATGTTTCAAGTTTCTTTTGTGGCAGTATCCATCTTGCAGTTTCTTTTCTTTTGCTCTTGCATGTGGCATTGCACTTCGTGTCAAGTTCTCATAGCATTTCCTTCTTCTCCTTCCCAAACTTGCTGAAATCTCAGTACACCAAGAAAACTCTTGAAAATGAATTGAAAAACATTTCCTGTCTTATTCAAGCCCCTTGGATGTGGTTCACACAGAGTGTGAATAAGATGATTTCATAGTACAATCCTAGGCTGTTCTAATCATAAAGGACGTCTCATTGTGTGACACACACATACCACAGAACCAGTAATTTCAGCATCATGGAAAATACTTTTACAGGTGGTGATTAGCCTCCAAGTTTTCTTTAATAGCAAAAGGTCAGAATGGCCTGTATAATTGTTTCCCTTCAAAGAAGTCAGAGGGATAGAGCAATAAGAGTATAGAAGTAGAAAAGAAGATGCTCTCCACTCCCTAAAGAACCCATTCCCAGGTAATAGATATCTGCAGCCAACTTATAGCTGATAATTCAATTAAAAGAGAGTGATTTCCTTATATGATACGAACAAAGGTAAAACAATTAGCGATATGGGCATACAGACTGTAATAAGTTTATATTTAAATTTGGACTTTAAGCTATCAGATAAAGACCAAAAATTCTCAATGAGTGTTGAAGACCTGGCATCAAGACATAGAAATTTGTAGGCAAAGGACAGATACTTTTGAAAAGAAGACACACACTCTGCCAACAAGCATATGAAAAAAAGCTCAACACAACTGATCATTAGAGAAATGCAAATCAAAACAACAGTCAGATACTATCATCTGCTTTTATACTGTTGGTAGAAGTGTAAATTAGTTCAACTTTTGTGTAAAGCTGTGTGGCAATTCTTCAAATAGCTAAGTCTCAGGATACAAAATCAATGTACAAAAATCACAAGTATTCTTATACACCAATAACAGACAAACAGAGAGCCAAATCATGAGTGAACTCCCATTCATAATTGCTTCAAAGAGAATAAAATACCTAAGAATCCAACTTACAAGGGATGTGAAGGACCTCTTCAAGGAGAACTATAAACCACTGCTCAATGAACAAATGGAAGAACATTCCATGCTCATGGGTAGGAAGAATCAATATCGTGAAAATGGCCATACTGCCAAAGGTAATTTATAGATTCAATGCCATCCCCATCAAGCTACCAATGACTTTCTTCACAGAATTGGAAAAAACTACTTTAAAGTTCATATGGAACCAAAAAAAGAGCCCGCATCGCCAAGTCAATCCTAAGCCAAAAGAACAAAGCTGGAGGCATCACGCTACCTGACTTCAAACTATACTACAAGGCTACAGTAACCAAAACAGCATGGTACTGGTACCAAAACAGAGATATAGACCAATGGAACAGAACAGAGCCCTGAGAAATAATGACACATATCTACAACTATCTGATCTTTGACAAACCTGACAAAAACAAGCAATGGGGAAAGGATTCCCTATTTAATAAATGGTGCTGGGAAAACTGGCTAGCCATATGTAGAAAGCTGAAACTGGATCCCTTCCTTACACCTTATACAAAAATTAATTCAAGATGGATTAAAGACTTAAGTGTTAGACCTACAACCATAAAAACCCTAGAAGAAAACTTAGGCAATACCATTCAGGACATAGGCATGGGCAAGGACTTCATGTCTAAAACACCAAAAGCAATGGCAACAAAAGCCAAAATTGACAAATGGGATCTAATTAAACTAAAGAGCTTCTGCACAGCAAAAGAAACTACCATCAGAATGAACAGGCAACCTACAGAATGGGAGAAAATTTTTGCAACCTACTCATCTGACAAAGGGCTAATATCCAGAATCTACAATGAACTCAAACAAATTTACAAGAAAAAACAACCCCATCAAAAAGTGGGCAAAGGATATGAATAGACACTTCTCAAAAGAAGACATTTATGCAGGCAAAAAACACATGAAAAAATGCTCATCATCACTGGCCATCAGATAAATGCAAATCAAAACCACAATGAGATACCATCTCACACCAGTTAGAATGGCGATCACTAAAAAGTCAGGAAACAACAGGTGCTGGAGGGGATGTGGAGAAATAGGAACACTTTTACACTGTTGGTGGGACTGTAACCTAGTTCAATCACTGTGGAAGTCAGTGTGGCGATTCCTCAGGGATCTAGAACTAGAAATACCATTTGACCCAGCCATCCCATTACTGGGTATATACCCAAAGGACTATAAATCATGCTGCTATAAAGACACATGCACACGTATGTTTATAGCGGCACTATTCACACTAGCAAAGACTTGGAACCAACCTAAATGTCCAACAACGATAGACTGGATTAAGAAAATGTGGCACATATATACCATGGGATACTATGCAGCCATAAAATATGATGAGTTCATGTCCTTTGTAGGGACATGGATGAAACTGGAAACCATCATTCTCAGCAAACTATCGCAAGGACAAAAAACCAAACACCGCATGCTGTCACTCATAGGTGGGAATTGAACAATGAGAACACATGGACACAGGAAGGGGAACATCACACACCGGGGACTGTTGTGGGGTGGGGAGAGGGGGGAGGGATAGCATTAGGCGACATACCTAATGCTAAATGACAAGTTAATGGGTGCAGCACACCAACATGGCACATGTATATATATGTAACAAACCTGCACGTTGTGCACATGTACCCTAAAACTTAAAGTGTAATAATAATAAAATAAAAAAATAAGAAAAGGTAAAGTGAAGTATAGGAATTGGAAGTGAGGTAACAGAAACAGTAAAAAAAAAAAAAAAGAAGCCTGTAATGTAATAATTATGGTGATATCAATGAAAATTGAAACTTTTACTAAAAGCAATGACAGCTATTCTTGTAATGATAGATGACTTTGGAAAGCCTATGAACTTCTAAAATATGTTTAAAAGCATTTGCTAAGGTCAGAAAAATTTTAATGCCACATTTTTTGGTAAGTTTTGTTTACATATTTACATTTGAAAAAATATGCATGAAACCTCTATTTTGGGTCAGACAATGTTCTACCCTCTAATGTTACATTTGATTAAAATGCATATGTTAACTGAAAGCTACTTCATTTATAAGATTGAATGTCAAGGTTTTTTTGTGAGTTATAGCTATGAAAAGTAATTTACCCAAAATGATGGTGTGTTTTTTCACCTTTAATGTCTATATCACTATTTTTAATTTATAATTTTCTTAAACAATTTTTATATTTATTTCACCATATAAATACAGACTTAATTTTCATTTTAAATTTCTCTTATTACATATTAAAAGCTAGTACCTAAAAAGAACTACTTTTCTCCTATATTGTTCCATGTATGCTGTGTCTTAATTACTTTACTCTTCTTTTACTTAAAATAAATTAGAGAACTCTGAATATGTGAAGAAATTTGCAGTAATGGGAAATAAGACATTCAAATTATGCTGGGCATATGAAATAAGCTTAATGAGAACCTAACAGTGCGGAAGTAGGAAAAATTTTAAGTACGCTCTTTATGGATCAAATAAACTACAAAGGGAAGGAAATATGAAGCGCTGAAAGGAAACTATAAAAAGCAAGGGCAGATAAAAATTATGAGCTTTAAGGGAGTGATTAAATAGAGCTTTAAGGGAGTGATTAAAATAGCATACAAAGGTCGAGAAGAATCCTTTTTAGGATAAAGATAGAAAAATATTAACAGTAATTCTTAAAATGGCAAAATATTCAGTTAAGCATTTAACTATCAACTGTGACAACTTGGAGTTATGTTAATTTATAGGGATTCGTTTATTTATCCACTTACCAAATATTTATTTTGTTTTTGTTTGTTTGGTTGGTTTTGTTTTTTGAGGTTTTTTTTTTTTTTTTTGAGATTAAGTTTCACTCTTGTTGCCCAGGCTGGAGTGCAATGGCGTGATCTCGGCTCACCACAACCTCCGCCTCCTGGGTTCAAGTGATTCTCCTGCCTCAGCCTCCCAAGTAGCTGGGATTACAGGCATGCGCCACCACACCCAGCTAATTTTGTATTTTTAGTAGAGACAGGGTTTCTCCATGTTGGTCAGGCTGGTCTCGAACTCCCGACCTCAGGAAGTGATCCTCCCGCCTCAGCCTCCCAAAGGCCTGGGATTACAGGCATGAGCCACCGTGCCTGGCACTAAATATTTATTTTGTTATTACTCTTTTATTTTCTATTTTGTTTCATTCATCCAACATATATTTCAGTCTTCAAAAATAATGCCAATTAAGTGTAACTTAATGTATAGAATTAACTAAAATCTAACATATAAAAACATAGAATGGTGTTATTATATCCTTTTCTTTTTTATGGACATTCATTAAGTAAAAACATCTCTTAAAGGAGAGAGTGGTTTTGTATCTTGGAGAATTCTTTCATAGAAAACACACACTTCCAAAATAAATACTTAGGCCCCTTTAAAGGATATTTTAAACATAGAAAAGGCAGAATATCAATGCAAAAGACTAATATATTTGGGCACATAAAAGTTAAACAAAAACCTTTTCTACATTAAAATATTTAAATTCATTATTGACAAGCTGAGTAAAAATGCTTTCCACAAATAAGTTAACTGATTGATTAATATTCTAATTTATAAAGAGCATCTATCCATTCATGCATCTATGTATCATCTATAGAAACCTCTACGAAATGCGTCTTATTCTGTTTTC
Source organism: Homo sapiens (assembly GCF_000001405.40). NCBI lineage: Eukaryota > Metazoa > Chordata > Mammalia > Primates > Hominidae > Homo > Homo sapiens. Next base: position 27,435 of record NW_003315913.1, read on the forward strand.
TGTTGCTATAACTGAATATCTGAGACTGGGTAAGTTATAAAGAAAAAAAATATTTTTTACAATTCTGGAGACTGGGAAGTTCAAGGTTGAGGGGTGGCATCTGGTAAGGGCCTTTTTACAGGTAAGGACCCTCTGTAGAGTTTCAGGGTGGCACAGGACATCACATAGTGAGAAGGCAAGGCTGCCTGAAGCCTTTAGGGCCCAATGCCTGCACTGGTGAGCCCAGGATGCTGGAAATGGAGTCAAAGGAGATTATTCTCCAGCTGTAAGATTTAAAGTAGTTTTCCCTGTTGGGGTTTAGACTTACTTGGGACTTGATACTACTTTCTTCTTCTCCTCTTCTTCTTCTCCCCCTCCCCCTCCCCTCTCTTCCTCCTCCTCTGCCTCCTCCTCCTTCTTTCCTCCTCCTCCTCCTCTTCTTCCCCCTCTTCTTCTTCTTCCTCCTCCTCTTCTTCTCCTTCTCTTCTTCTTCTTCTTCTTCTTCTTCTTCTTCTTCTTCTTCTTCTTCTTCTTCTTCTTCCCCTCCTCCTCCTCCCCCTCCTCCTCCTCCTCCTCCTCCTTCTCCTTCTTCTCCCTTTTCTTCTCTTTCTTCATCTTCTTTTTTTTTTGTTGGGGGGATGGCTATTTCTCCCTGAAGGAATGGGAATGCTTGTTCTATTCCTGTCTCACAATTGTATTTTTGGAAGTAGATAACTTGTTTAATTTCAAAGGTTCATAACCGAAGGAGAATTTACTTCAAGATGAATTGTCACTTGAGTATCACCCATATCTGATGCAGATGAAACTCTGGACTTTGAACTTTTGAGTTGGTGCTGAAGTGAATTAAGACTTTGGGGATGTGAGGGTAGAATGAATCTACTTGTATGGGAGAAGAATATGAGTTTTGGGGGGCCAGGAGCAAAGTGTTATAGTGTGAATATTTGTCTCCTTTGAAACTTATGTTGAAACTTAATCCCCAGTGTAACAGTATTAAGAGGTGGGCCTTTTAAAAGTGATTGGGTCATGAGGGTTCTGCCCTCATGAATGGATAAATAGGTTAATGAATTAATAGGTTATCATGGGAGAGGGTTAGTTATCACAAGAGTGATTATGTTATAAAAGCCAGATTAGCATGCTCTAGCCCCCTCATCATGAAGCATCCTGCATCGAATAAATGGTCAAGAACAAGTATAAACAATTCAGAAAATAAATAGACATGTCTGTTATAGACTGAATGTTCATGTTCCCTCACATTCAAAGATTTAAACCTAATCCCCAGTGTGATGAGGAGGTGGGGCCTTTGGGAGTTAATTAGGTTAACTAGGTAATGAAACCCTTATTAATGGGATCAGTGACCTTGTAAGAAGAGACACAAGAGAGATGATCTCTCTCTCTCACTGTGGGAGGATACAGCAAGATGTTGGCCATCAGCAAACCAGGAAGAGAGTCGTCACCAGTAACTGAAGCGCTGGCACCTTGCTCTTGGACATCTGTCTCCAGAATGTTAGGAAATACATTTCTATTGTTTTAACCACCCAGTCTATGTTATATTTGTTACAGCCACCCAAACTGATTAAGATGCTAAAATGTTTTAAAATTTCTTTGAAACAACTTTCCCATGAAACTATTTAGTAATGGACATAAAGAAGTTTTAAAATGTCTATACTGTTTGCCGGGCGCGGTGGCTCACGCCTGTAATCCCAACACTTTGGGAGGCCGAGGCGGGTGGATCATGAGGTCAGGAGATCAAGACCATCCTGGCTAACACAGTGAAACCCCGTCTCTACTAAAAATACAAAAAATTAGCCGGGCGTGGTGGTGGGTGCCTGTAGTCCCAGCTACTCAGGAGGCTGAGGCAGGAGAATGGCGTGAACCCAGGAGGCGGAGCTTACAGTGAATCGAGATCACACCACTGCACTCCAGCCCGGGCAACAGAGTGAGACTCCATCTCAAAAAAAAATAAAAAATAAAAAATAAATAAATAAAAAATTAAAAAATTAAAAATAAAAATAAAATAAATAAAAAATAAAAATAAAAATGTTTATACTGTTTTACTATGTATGCCAGGAGGCAAGTACAAGAGCAGGCTTTTTTTCATATATTTTGTAAATAAATAAACAGAGATGTGAAGTTTTCCGAACTTTCAGCTATCACTGAAAGTCTCATACAAAGAAATACAAATATTTATGTACAAAGACCCTATCACGGTGTTTTCAATAGTAAGAAACTATAAATAATCTAAATCTCTAATGAAAATTAATAAATAGAATAGTTACATAAAATGAAGTAAATATGTAAATAAAATATAATGTAAATACTAAAAATAAAGATTTTAAATTTTTTATAGAAAATACCAAACATACAAAAGTATGGAGAATAAACATATAAAGATCTCACATGTAGTCATCATTCAGCTTGAACAGATATCAACTAAACACTAGCTTATTTTTATTATTCGCTTATCCATTGGCCTCCCCCTGCTTCCACCTTGATTATTTTGAAGGAAATCTCAAGCATCGTATTACTTCACCATAAATATGAATGTAAAGTTTTTGAAGTATTTATGATAAAAGCAGAACATTTTTTATAATATAACAAGAGAAAAAGCAAATTATAAAATGGCATATGAAATAGTATTTCAATTACTTTTAATGTGTGTGTGTGTGTGTGTGTGTGTGTGTGTGTGTGTGTGTGTATGTAGTGGAAAAACAAATTTGTGGTAATAGACCAAAATTTTAAGATGGATTTATCAGACAGTTGAGAATTTATATTTGTTTGTATTTTTTCCAGTTTTTAATAATGAATATGCATTTTATGATTAACCCCAAATATTACTATAAAAATAAGTGGGTATGTAAATTTGATATGGTTTAAATGTATCCTGGAAAAGCTTATTTGTTAGAGGCTTGATCCCCACTGCGGCAGGGTTGAGAGGTGGAATATTTGGGAGGTGATTGGGTTATTGGGACTCTGCCCTCATGAATTTATTCATCCATTCATGGATTACTATATTAATGGGTTGATAGGTTAATGGGTTAATAGGTTAATGGGTTATAACAGGAGTGGGTGAGTTATGAGAGTGAGTCTGTTGTATAGTCAGTTTGGCTGTCTCTCTAAGTTCCCTCACCATGGGATGCATTGTGCCATCTCAGGACTCTCCAGAGAGTCGCCACTGGCAGAAGATTCTCCAGAGACAGTCATGTGACATTGGAACTCTCAGCCTCCAGAACTGTAAGAAATAAATTTCTTTTCTTTATAAATTATCCAATCTCTGGCATTCAGTTATAGCAGCAGCAAACAAGCTAAGACAAAATTATACTTTAATAAAACTGTTAAAAATAAAATAAGTGGTTATCTTTTAGGTAATGCCATTCAATGAAGTTATAAATATGAGGAAATATTGTTAAAAGAGGAAGTGAGTTAAAAAATGTATAACTTTAGCTGTCATTTAAAAAGTGAATAAAAAATACTTTGTGTTTTTATAAATTAGCTCATGCTTCCTCCTTTTGGGGGATAACAGAATCTAAGGTAAATAACACAAAATCAGCTTCCCCATTATAGATAAACTGTTCTTCAAAACTGGGGAATATATATATAAATTCATTTTAAGGCTACTATTGGCCCTTAATGCCATCAAAGACCACTAGATAAACATATTGATCAAGTAAAGCTCAGTTAATTAGACTTACTACACTAAAGGAGAACATCAACATGTTTGAGATTGTCAATAAATTCTCTAAAGAAGGAAGTTACAGGAAGAAAAATATACAGGGCATTGGGTGGTTTTAAGGCAGATTTTGCAAGATGGAGCTGTTTGGGATTGGTCAGGGTTTGGAGCATAATAACTTTGGTTTGGTGGGCATGGCAAGGAAAGGGTCCAGAAATACGCTATTAGTCTTAAACACTAAGCTATTTTTGTTGTTTCATAGTTTTATCTTCTAGAGCATGTATTTACTGCAGCAAGTAGCTAAGTGACTTTTGCCTAGCTCCAGTTTTGTGTAGCACAGAAACAGGAAAATATCTTTGGTCCTTGAACTTTCTATCCCAGGAGCAGTAAAGTAAATTGGGTTCATTTCTTATTTTAAGAAGTTCAAAACGAATCCAAGGACAACACAATTGTGCTCCTCTAGTTTTTTTGTTCCATAAAACATTATAGTCTATCTCCTTTTAATTTTGTTTTAAAAATTTTATTAATAAAGACAGGGTATTTTTATGTTGCCCAAGCTGGTCTTGAACTCCTGGCCTCAAGTGATGCTCCCACCTTAGCCTCCTAAAGTGCTGAGATTACAGGTATAAGCCACCATGCCCAGACTCTATTTCCTTTTTTAATAGTCAAACTCCCATCATTTTATTCACTTAATCAATTGATCTCTTATGTTTGCAGCATTGTGCCAGGTGACAGGTACAAAAAGTTGAATGAGCATGATCTTGGATAAGACAAGCATGCAAAGAAATACGCGCAAGAATTTGTAAGATGCTGTTGAAATATTATGCAGAGGGTACATAAAGCACAAGGAGGAAATAGTGAATTCTATTAGGATATGGGGTGGTTGGACAAGATTTTATACAGAAGCTAACCCTTGATCTGAGTTTCAAAGAATAAGGAGAAAGGGAAGGAGAGAACAGAATGGAATTGTAAATTAAAAAAAAACAAGTGTGAACGTTTGGGAAACTGCTAGCTAATCAGAACTACAATTTAAAAAATCTATAAGTATTACTTAGGAATATTTCACTCTTGCTTATGTTATGTTTTCTTTTCAGAATGTAGGTCTTATTTCTCTAATTAAACCGAAAGGATCTTGTGTATATAAAATGTCTTTTTATATACCTCATGTCACTTAGATCTGTGTCTACAGAATGTGGAAAAAATACTTTGATTGGTAAATGATAACTGAGAAGAGTAGGAGAAAAAATATTGTGATCTGGACTACTTATTTTAACCAGTTTAACAAATGACTGTTATTTATGAAAGATTTTCACTGGACAGAATATACTTAGGTGATTCCCACAGGAGTTCAATCAAGTATTTTCTCGTCAACTCTACAATTTATAATTGTTTCCAACATTCAGGGTCAGATTATTAATAACATTATTATTAATAACCAAACTCATAACAAGAGTACTTGCCTGATATTGATGCTCAGTAATTTTGTGTAAAAGAAATGGATGCGTATGCAAATCACATTCATATTACCAAGGGTGAAGAGAAGTCAGCTAGGCATTTTGGGGAAAGCTTTATTTTTTACATTAATAAAACAGAACTCTGTGAGCTTTCCTCTCCTTCTTTCCAGTTTGTGATTCTGGTTTGTGATTTATAATGATAAATCTTATCCAAGAGCAAGGTAGGCTTTCCTTTTGAGCAAGTATGTTTCTGTCTTTCAGAAGCATTCTAAAACATTTCTTCACTTTCTTGCTAATTATTCTGTAGTTATACTACCTTTGCCTAGAAATACTACATATGATCTCTTATATAATGTTTGAAAAATGGTTATTGCTTTTATTGAAGCATGTTTATGTTTATACCAGATCTCTTATAGTTTGTAGTGGTTTTGACTTTGAGTCTCTTTTACTTGAGTGTCTTGTTTTTTCAATCTCTACAATCCTATCATTTGAAAATAATGTTAATTTTGCTTCTTTTTCTGCAAGTTCGGTAACATACTTTTCTTTCTTTCTCTTATCCTTCCCCCACCCCTCCTCCTTCCCATCTTTCTTCTTCTCCTCCTTTCTCCTTCACTGCCTTTCTCCCCTTCTGTTTTTGTCTTAGAGTGTTAAAGTTAATTAGAAGCTGTTTATCATCTGTATCACCTGTATTCTTAAGCTTGATGCTAGATCTTTTAGTTATAAATGTATTTATAAATAACCAGAAAATGTCCATCTTTTGCTATTTTATGAATGATTTTAATCCATAATGATTATTAACTTTTACCAAATGCTGTTTCAGCAACTACAGCAGTTATGTATCAATATGGGTTCAGGCCTTATGCTGGTCTCTCCATGCTCTAAGGAAGAGAAACAACTCTAGTTTTAACTCTGTGTGAATGAGTAGATCTATTTCAAATTGGGGGTAGGGGGATATTTAGAAATAGCATTGCTAGTCATAGGTTAGAAATTTACTTCTGACACATTTTATTTATTTGGATAATATCCTTTACTATGCTTTTTGAATAGAAGGCTTAATTCAATTTAATTTCCTTTGTGGGATGTGGGGATGTTACTGTAAGATATCTGACTTGGAAGAGTAGTAATAGAATCATCGTATCCAACAGATATAGGCACTTTAGCATTGGTTTCTTCTATAACACAAAGGAGTTAGACAAAACAATCCCCAAAGCTCCTTTAGTCCTAACATTCTGTGATGCTCCCGTGATAATTTAATTCAATTACCTCCTTTCACAGAGAAGGAAACTGAGTCCCAGAGAATAAACATTGGTCAAGACTATACATGGTACTTAACTGGCAGCATAAACAAACTGGAAGGCACAATGCTAAATTCACAGCTCGTTTCGTTGTTTCTTAGAGTGTGTTTCAGAGCCAGCCACTTAACTGAAGACAGGAATTCCAAAATATTTATCTACCAAAGAGTTGGCTCAACTTTTCACCATAGCATGACTGAGTGAACATATTTGAGTTATCAGTTCTCCTATTTCATGACACAGGTATGCTACAATTTACAATTTTAATTTTTTTATTTAGGAAATTATAGATAAATAAGTAAATGTAGATCTTACTATTATTTCAAAATGTTCACATAAAAATCTGTGGAACTTGATTACTCTATTGCCAAATTAATAGACAACTAAATCTTAAATTAATTCCTAAGTTTACTATTCATTTCAATGGCGCATATAATATGTTCTTTTTATATCTGTAGACTAGATAACTTGTTTTCATAAAATCAAACCATAGGAAAGTCAAGATTTCCTTTTCCCATCTTCTCTTTATGGCACAGTCAAGGAAGCATATCTATCTTTGATATATTTGCAAACATTTTGTGTTCAATATGGTCCAACATTTTCCTAAATTTAAAGTTAAGTATAACATAGTGCCAAAGCATACATCTTTATTATCAGTAAATATATGTCAATAAATATTATCAATATTTGGCAATAATAACATTGTATTTATATTTTTCAAATTGATTTTACTTTACCATTTTACTGTCACAGTATATTCTTTCCTTAGAAAGGGTGAAAGGGCTTTATAGCCTGGGAAACTGAGGCACAGAACTTTGGAGTCACTTTCCATCCCACACGTTTTGTTGTTGCTGTTGCTTTTTTTTTTTTTTTTTTTTTTGAGACGGAGTCTTGCTCTGTCACCAGGCTGGAGTGCAGTGGCGCGATCTTGGCTCACTGCAAGCTCCGCCTCCCGGGTTCAGGCCATTCTCCTGCCTCAGCCTCCCGAGTAGCTGGGACTACAGGCGCCCGCCACCACGCCCGGCTAATTTTTTGTATTTTTAGTAGAGACGGGGTTTCACCGTGTTAGCCAGGATGGTCTCCATCTCCTGACCTCGTGATCCACCCGCCTTGGCCTCCAAAAGTGCTGGGATGCTGGTATTACAGGTGTGAGCCACCGCGCCTGGCCACACTTTTTTTTTTTTTAATGCAAGTAGAGAAACAGCTCTCTAGTAATAGTAACACACACACACACACACACACACACACACACACACTCAAAACCCCACTCGTCTTGGTTCTTAGCTTGGTGCTTCTTTCCTTTAGCCTCAGTGCAGAAAGCGCCATGTATTTGAATATTCAAGTCATTCACCTTTTGTAACTGCTTGAGAGACAATACTAATGAAAAAATATGTTTCACGAGCCATGTTTTCACTCCTGAAACATTCAGTGTCATTTATTGCTTTCCAAGTGTGTGGTTTGAAGACACACACATATTTTCTTTAAAAATCTGTAGCTTTGCTGAAAATAAATCTGGCTCATAAAAATAAAGAAAAAACTATTATTTCTTGGCAGCTCTGAATGTATGGCTTTAATTTCAATAAGAGTACTATCTTAGATTATTTATTTATTGATTATCTTGGTCGTTTAGTAAGAATTTTCTGAGCACCTGTATCTGCCTATTTTAGGTGAAGGGGATATGGCAGGAAAACAATTTCTGTTTTCATGGAGTTTACATTTTAGTTGAAGAAGATAGGCGATATATAAATAAAATAGTAGAATATATAGTTTGTCACCTGGTAATAAGTGCTTTGGAGAAAAGCAAATAGGAAAGGAAGGTAGAAAATTGTTAGGAGGAGAGTTAACAGCTTTAAAAAGGGTTGTGGGGAAGGCCTCATTGGGAAGGTGATTTCAGAAAAGACTTGGAGAATGTGAGGAAGCTAGCTCTTCAGATTTCTTCAGAGGGTTCTGTTCAGTTGAACAAAGCAGCAACAACATAAATGTTTCTCTAAACCTTCAGGCTGATTCACTTTGACAGATACGCCTTTCAGATGATTACCAAACCATTTGAAACTAATTTCCTTCTCTCCCAGAAAATTCCCCAAGTGACTGAGAGCTTATATTTTCCTGGAACTGAAGACGTGAATAAGGATTGATGTAATTTTCATCTGTAATATTTCCAGAGAGGAATTGGGCACATCTTGACATTTAGGGAACAGTAGTTAGTAGTAAATGTTTCTCCAGAGTTTTTAGACTCCATCGTCACTATTTATTATAGATTGGAAATTCATTTTGGTGGTCTGCTGGTCCAAGACAGTGAATCACAACCCAAATATCAGCCCCTCCCCATCAAAAGAAGAGATTATTCTGTTTCTGGTGTCTAAGGATTATTAAATATTTGAGATGAATTTATATTAATATGTTACCTTAAATACAAACAATCAACAAAAGATTAAGCTGTCTGTTTTGTGATCTTATTTATTTCTTCAAGAAACAATGAAAACTTCTCATTTGGTTTTGGAACTTACTATTTGGAACTTTATGATACAGGATATTGTATGTTAGCCTGAGTCCACCTCCCCCCTTGAAAAAGGATAGTCAAATAATAAACTTTGCCAACTCTGAGGCTCTGTGTATTCCTGTTCCTGCTCTGAGTGTCCAGGAAGAACAGCAGACTCCTAAGAACATTAATGAAAACAACAACAACAACAACAGCAACACGTGAAGGTTACATTCACAGAGAGATCTGCCATAACCAGCACAGCAGCTGGTTGAAAGCTACAGAAGAGACTGAACTGATTCAATGCATGTCAAGAGTTTTTTGTTTGTTTGTTTGTTTTATTTTAAGTTCTGGGATACATGTGCAGATGTGCAGGATGTGCAGGTTTGTTACATCGGTAAACATGTGCCATGGTTTGATAGGTGGTTTGCTGCACCTATCAACCCATCACCTAGGTATTAAGCCCAGTGTGCATTAGCTATTTTTCTTGATGTTCTCCCAACCCTCACCCCCTGACTGGCCCCAGTCTGTGTTGTTCCCCTCCCTGTGTCCATGTGTTCTTATTGTTCAGCTCCCACTTATAAGTGAGAACGCAGTATTTAGTTTTATGTTCCTGCAACCCAAAGGAATATATATCCTTCTATTATAAAGATACATGAACCTGTATGTTCATTGCAGCACTATTCACAATAGCAAAGAGTTTTTAACTATGAGTTCCTTTAAACTTCTTTATCAAATAATTAGCATTGGAAAATATCATCATCTAGAAGTTTCTGCGGATGTCTACTCACAGTAGACTGTGTCTTCGTAAATGGATGGGCCACCTCAAAGATTTTGGTAAGAGTGGGCATAAATGGGCATGTAAGTGATCACATTTTTTACTTCACTGGCAAATAAAAATGGGGTTACTTATTTGCCTCCTATGGAAATTTAAGATTCTACTAATTTGTATGCTTTCTCTTAATTATTTACTACTTTTCAATAGGAGTGAAGTACCTGGAGTCACAGGCCTAGCTTTGGTTTCTTTGGGACAGCTTTTCAAAAATGGTGTTAATCACTTAAAAATATGTCTAAGCTCTTACAGTGCTAGGCATTGTAGGAAAAATACAGCAAGTCATTTATTGGTCATAAAGACCTTACAGTGAAATGGTGAGTGGAGAAGGGAAGAAGTTTGCAGACTTCCTTCTAAATAAGACTCAGACAGAAAGCAATGGAAGTTCAATGGAAAGGAAGGTTGCAGTGACATTAGTTTTTTATTTTTTCTTATTTTGCAGTGACATTGATTTGAAAAAGACATTTGGGAAATATGTAGAATGTGCCTGGGTTTGCACTTTGCTTCTGGAATTCACTAACGATGTGATTTAAGGCAAATTTCTCTCACTGGAGTGCAGTGGTATGATCATGACTCCCTGAAGCCTCAAACTCTTGGGCTCAAGCAATCCTCCCTACTCAGCCTCTCAAGTAGATGGGACTTACAGGCACACCATCATGCCTGGCTAATTTTTTAAATTTATTTTTTGTAGAGGGTCTCACTGTGTTGCCTGGGCTAGTCTCAAACTCCTGGCCTCAAACTCCTGGCCTCAAGCTATCCTTCTGCCTTGGCTTCCCCAAATGCTGGGATTACAGGCATAAGCCATCACACCCAATCTAAGGTGAGTTTCTTAACCGATCTGAGCCTCATCATTTCTTCATCTGTAAAGCAAGCACAGTCTTTCCTAATGTGCATTGAGGTTACAGGTAATCAAGAGTGCATGCTAAGCACTTGGCATTTTGTCTGGGACAAGGTAGGTGATATTGTCATTATTAAGAAAGATCAGGAAGGGCACCCCACAAGCTTGAGGTCAGAATGCCTAGCAATTGGAATTACTCAACATCTGAGTTAAGGCTGGGCTCTAACACTAGTTAGCTGGGCACCAAGGAAAACTCAGCGTAGGATGGATATTGTGTGCTGATGAAATGCTACATGGGGTGGTGATATTTACTGCCCCAGGTTCGTCATGGTGTGGAGAAGGTAAGGTGTGATCCTAAATATGAAGCCCCTTTAAAAGGCAATTATCAGCCATACAAATCAGGAACACTAGCATATAGAGAGCAATTTGAAATTTGTATTTGGCAGGTGTGTCTTGGAGAATCTCTAGGGAAAATATGTCCTCTTAAAAACCTTAGAGGATCTGTGAAAAATGTACCTTGCTGCCCCATCTGAAGGCTTCCATACCTCCTCTTCTTTCCTCAAACCCTCAGATGGGACATGGATTGCTTCCTTCTGTCTCTTCATTACCGGGGATAGTATTAATTCTTTGGTGTTCTTTATTATCCTTATTTTTATTATTATGTGAGAAATTTATTAGTAAAATTTTCAGTAAGTAGGATTACAAGCTAGTCTACCTGTGGATAGAATTGCAGCATATATAATACAATGAGAGAGTAGGGAGGGGAGATAAGGAAGCAAGGAAGAGAGAAAGGGAGAGAGTGATTTGTTTAAATTTTTAAATTATTTTATTTTATTTTATTTTGAGACAAGATCTCGTGTCTCCCAGGCTGGAGTACAGTGCTGTAATCGGCTCACTGCAGCCTCGACCTGCTGAACTCTAGCAATCCTCCCACGTCAGCCTCCCTAGTAGCTGGTACTACAGGTACATGCCACCACTCCCGCTAATTTTTTGTTTTTTTTGTAGAGACAGGATCCCACTATGTTGCCCAGGCTGGTCTTGAACTCCTGGGCTCAAGCAGTCCTCCCGCCTTAGCCTTCCAAAGGTTGGCATCAGACACCACAATTCAAGAAAATGAAATAAATTAACAAAATTATTAGGCTAAACCGTGATTTTTTTTCAGACACTGAATTTAAGTTTCTAGGTGTGTGCATTAGTAAGATCTAAAAACATTTCTCTTTTATAGGAAAAGAATTGAAAACTTTGAGAAAAAGATAAAGTGCCCAAATCAAAGCATGCAGAGCTAACAAATGGTAGAGCCGGCAATTGAACATAGGTCTCTCCATAGGCAAAGCCTATGTATGCCCTTTCCAGGGCACCAGGCTGCCTCCCTTAGCCTTGGCACTTGACTTTGATACTGGATACTCTTTTTAAAGACGATGTTATGTAAGTATACAAGGGTTACTTGTTTATTGCTTTTTAATTCACTCTCTACCCAGTATTTAACTGAAACTCTGACTTTCAAGGAAGTGTTATCTGTTATTAACAGACGTCAGGGTATAACAAAAATAAATTATTTTTATTTAGTAGTTTAGGTAACTTCCTGCCTTCAACATTTAATGCTTTGTTCAAACTTCTATGTAGAGAAGAATCTAGTTCATAGATATTTTTCATAATGATCATTCAAAGAAGTGGTGTTCACAAATCGGTGGTTATCTCAATTAGCTACCATCTTCCTCCTTTATGAGCATTTCCCTTCTCCTTTCAGACAGAAATAATATCTCTCTCCTTGGTGCTCCAACAGCGCTCTGTGCCTCTTCAATGGCAAAGCTGCATTTGCTTTGTCTTCTTCCTTGGCGGCTATAGTTTTGATCTAGACTGTAAATTCCCCACTAGACCATAAGTTCCTGTATCCTTCATTTGTAATATCTTAACAATATTCCAAGTATTTATTAGCCTAATTAAATTTTATGTGCCGTATTTTTAAACCGTTTCAGAGGAATTAATTTTAACAATGACTGGGTTATTTTGGTCAGATAATTCGTGAATAATAAGGAACATTAAAGCACTAACTAGTCCTGGTAATGGAGAGGCAGAAGGAAAGAATTTGGTGCTGGACCTAATGGCTGGAAGAAAGGATGAGCTGTGGAAAGGTTTTAGAAAGGGCTGCATAGTACATTTTCAGGTTTTTATTTGCTAACTCTTTTTCAGCTATTAGGTTGGTGCAAAAGTAATCGCGGTTTTTGCCATTGAAAGTAATGGCAAAAACCGCGATTACTTTTCTGTTAACATAATATTACAAATATGAAAGTGTGGATAATCAAAATAGAGCTATAAACAATTTGATAGAAATTAATTTCTGAATCATACCTTCCTTCTCTGCTGCGGATACATAACAGTTGGTAGAATTTATTTCTGTGGGAAAACTTGTACCTATGTTCAGCCTGTGACATGAAAATCTCAGGTACTGCATCAGCAATGCATCATCATCTTTTTCTTTCTCCCATTTTTATTGCTTTTGTGATCCTGTCCTGAATTACTGGCAATGCCTCGAACAACTTTAAGTCTCTTGCCGTAACTTGGACTTACGTGCTACAGTTAATAAAAAAGTCTTTAAAGAGCATTAAGGTCTTAAATAGCAAAAGCATTTTGATATTTCAGGACTATTGCTAACCAGGGGAATCAAAGAACATATGGCAAAAAGCTGTGCTTTTTCACATTCTGAGTAGGACGGGGCAGGGGAAATTGTGAAGAAAATGAGATAGGCCTGAAGACGTCCTGTGATTCCCTCCCTCCTGGCAGCCCAAGTGGGCCCTGGAACTCCCAGTTACTCCCCAACCCCCACCCTCACAACAGCATCCTCCCCAATGTCTTTTGGTCTTAGAAATAGATCTGACAAATATTTCCACTCTGAGGTATCCATGTTAAGGTCATGATGTATAAACACGATGAGGGAGTGAAAAGTAAACAAGCAAAGCTACAGAAGTTTTAAACCAACAAATGAGCATCTAATTGTGGAATGTGGGGCACTAAGAAGCTGGTTGAGGGAGAATTTGGAGAGTGTCAGTTCTTCCTATAAAAGGTTACCCTAATCCTAGAGGATAATATTCTGATCTTCTCTGAAGAAAGTATACAACTTACAAGAAAATTCAGAGGGCATCAACTCCACCTGGAAGAAAATCCAGCTGTTTTTAAGTTCTGATGTTTTGTTTTGATTTATCATTTTTTCCTTGCCAGTGATTTATAGTTGTAGAATGTTTAGAATTGGGTTAATGGGTACAAAAATTCAGTTAGATAGAAGGAATACGTTCTAGTATTTAATAGTACAGAAGGGAAATTATAGTTAATAATAACTTATTTATATTTCAAAATAGCTAAAAGAGAAGAAGTGTAATGTTCCCAACACAAAGAAAAGATAAAAGATAAATGTTTGAGATGACAGATATCCAATTACCATGATTTAATCATTGCATGTTGTATACATGTATCAAAATATAACATGTAACTCCAAATACATACAAGTATGATATATCAATTAAAGAAATCCAAGAAAGGGGTGTCTCCATTTTTAGGACAGTTCAAACCAAAATGTTCTTCAGCTGAAGTTGTCTGCTGTGGTGGGGCTTGGGGAGAGACTAGACTGCAGGGAGGAATGAGCCAGTGGTGGAGGTGGGGGGATAGACAGGAAGCTATCACAGGAGTTCTCAGCTGGGAAGATGGAAGTCAGCACTAGGAAAAGTCACAGGAGGATCAAATTATTCTCTTCACCTATCTCTGGCTCCTCCAGCTGCCCCCTTCCATCAGCTGGTTTCCACAAATAACTGGCCCTCTAGAATCTTACTTAAAAAATGTTCTCAACAAAGGGTTCCTACTCCCACTCACATTACTTTGAAGAGATAAGCTGGAATGTTTTACAAACAACCAGCTGAACAGGTTGAAAGAGCAGATGTTAAGCTGAAATGTTGCAATGACTAGTTTTGGTTCTTGGAACACCAAACACTAGATGACATCAAGTGTGTATTTTTAGCCTTATTTATAATGTGACAAGTCACATTTCACTCTCTCCTCATTGTCAAAGGCTATTTCCAAAGGATTACGAAGGAAGATCTGACTTGCATTAAAGCTTCTTTGACTTTGAACACAGCACATGTTTTCCATAAGGAAATCAATAAAATCTGAGAGTAGAACTTGAATAATATATTTCATTTCTAATGCAGCACTCACCTAGATAATTTATAGTGTCTCATTTTAAACTTTGCAAAATCACTTGGATGGGTTCTTGTTCTTCTAGTTTTTTATAGTTCATTAATTCAACAACTATTTATTGTGCACTTGCCATATAGCATAGGGACACATATATTCATAAATTGTTGGAGATAAACAGATAGCTCTGATGAACTTCATACTTTGAAGGAGGAGACAGCCCCATGAAGAAACAATGAGAAATACAGTCTGATCATTAATATAAAGAGAGGTGTGAACAACATGTGAACCTGGCTTTTGAAAGGAGAGGCAGGAGGAGCCAGGGAAGGCTTCATGGAGAAATCTGGTTTTGAAAGACATAGAAATGAGATAAGTGAGCAAAAGAGGTTCCAGGTTGAAGGGCAATGTGTGCAAGCCTGTACCTCATATTCTAACATCACAGCATATGTACGACACTGTATCTAGCACAGTTGTACATTGTGTCATCAGTCTGTACAATATGCTTTTGTACTTGACTCTATAAATCATGAAGCTTGACAACAGTGGTGCAATTTTTTTGTTGTTATTGTTTTGTTTTTCTTTTTTCCTTGTGGTTAAGTTGGTGATCTCAAGCTTTAGCCTGTGAATGAATCAACCTGATTGATTAAACATGGGTGACCCGGGCCATATTCCCAAAGACATGATTCAGTTGATCTAGGTGGGGCCTGGGAACCTGTATAGTGTTTTTAAAAGCCCTCTAGTGATTTTAATTAAGAGCATCAGAAGATCATGCATTGAGAAACACTAGATTAGGGAGGATAGAAAGTAAGGAATTTCTGTTTCTTTTTTAGGTTTTTATTTGCAGAAGGAGAAAATGAGGAAGAGAAAGGGTTGGTAAACAGTGTAGGACAAAGGAAAACAAAAGTAGCTGAGAGAGGAATTGAGAGGTGTTGGCCAGTAGGAATCTAGGTATCAAGAAGATAAGCTGCTGATTGTCAGCGTTTGGGAGGGAGATTTGCACAGGAAGGTACACAGTGTGAGAAAATAGCAATAATACTATGTAATGTAAAAATCTTAACACAGAAATGGGCTGCAGCTATGCCAAGATAAAGCATCCTTTTACAAATATAGTAGAGAACTGTGACTGATGACAAAAATAAAAGTTGGATAGATTGTGCTGATAGTTTATTTGGATATTAAATAGAAGGTTGGCCTCAGAAAGTTTTTTGTTGTGTTCTGGCACCATCTCTGCCAATTGTGTTCTGGAAAATATCTCTTCGTGTTTATTTTCTCATCACAATGAAAAGAGAGCAATGATGTTACGGACAATGCCATGGCTCACTGGAACCTGTTTGTGTTGAAGCAACAGAGATTATCTTGATTTTGCAGTTTCCTAATATCATTTATTTAATTGCTGGTTACACCATTACTCGTGATGCTGCATTATTCATTGTGACCCCATGAATACTGGCTTCCAATGACACTCAAAGGTTATTATTGTGCCGAGTTAAGTGCCACATATGTACTTGTGATGACTACAAATGCAAGTTTTATGCAGAGTATTCAGAAAAAATGGAGAACAATAATTCATTTGCTATTCATGTTAAGTTTACAGACTGGAATGTTAGAGCATAAACTAGAGCAATGCAACAACCAGCCATGTTTTCTCTTTAACTTGTTAAATTGTAATGATGGATTCTGAGAATGTGATCCCTTTCTATGTGGCTCCCACCTGTGCCTTCCATTCACTGCCGCTCTTGGGGAGAAGATGTGAGAGCCCAAGGGCAGAGCAAAAAGAGCAGTCCCATTTGCACAAGAAATGACCATTTCTCATCTGTCATGGATTAAAACTGACCCAGGAGAGACCTCTATCATTGTACCAATCAGCCAAGAGAAGACAATGATGAGAAAGGTCCATTGGCTTTGCAGAGCAACAGATTCTCCAGAGCACTGCTGGATGCAGGGTATGGACCCTGAAGATAGGTGGAATGACTGCTTTGAGTGCCAGTGGGTGAGGGACACATAAGCTGAGAGATCACTGTTCCCACCATCCTTAGGTGCTATAGACAGTATGTGGCATCAGGGTTGAGATACAGATAGGCAAGAGCTGATGCATGGGACCACACATCTGGCTCAAACCCAAGTACCAGCAATGGTCCTCAGTAGCTTGGAGCCCAGAACTTATCTTTTCACTGGGGTAAGAGCCACCCAAGTTAGCCATTCTGATGGTCCCATCTCACATAATCCCATGAAAGAAATACTGCAAGAGTCAGCAGGAGTGATCCACTTGTCAGGCCACTGTCCTGGAACCTGCATCTGAACCATTCTCCTGGAGCCTATTAGCATGAGTTCTGATGCTCTTCAGGATCTTGTGCAGAGGAGAGGGTTGCAGAGCATTTGGAAGAGAAGAAATGGGGTTTAAGATCAGGACATCATGCCCAGACAGCATTGGTAGACCTGATTGAGTTCAGGCAACTGAGGGTACTTAGAAAATGCTGAGGAAGTCATACAAAAATACGAAGTCTCAAACAGGGGCCCTCCTTACCCAGATCTCAGGGCAGTACTGCTGTCTGGATTCATAATCACAATTCCAGTTATAAACTTTGTGATCTTGAAAAAGTTATTTAACTGAACCTCAGTTTCTTTATAGATAAAATGGGGGTTATGTCTTACAAAGTTGCAAAAATTATATGAGCTAATTTATAAAGTGTCCAGCATAGTAATGCTTAGTAAGTTTAGCTATTGCTAGCTACTCATACCTCAGCCAGGGACGTGGGTGGGGTCTGCCTGAGTTGTTTGGGTCTATAAACAACTTGTTGCATTTGGGCAAATTCTTCTATATAGAAAGTATTAGGTTGGTGCAAAAGTAATTGTGGTTTTTGCCATTAAAAGTAATGCCACTAAAAGTAACCTTATACTATTTGTTTCCGATTATAAAAATGATGTTTGTTTTAGGAAACTTGAAAACTATACAAAAACATTAACTCATTCAACTTATTGAACAAATATATATATATATGTATATATATTTTTTTCAGACAAAGTCTCGCTCTTGTTCCCCAGGCTGGAGTGCAATGGTGAGATCTCGGCTCACTGCAACCTCCGTCTCCCGGGTTCAAGCAATTCTCCTGCCTCAGCATCCTGAGTAGCTGGGATTACAGGCACCTGCCACCACACCCGGCTAATTTTTGTACTTTTAGTGAAGACGGGGTTTCACCATGTTGGCCAGCCTGGTCTCAAACTCCTGACCTCAGGTGATCTGGCCACCTCGGCCTCCCAAAGTGCTGGGTTTACAAGTGTGAGCCACCACACCCAGCCTCAACAAGTATTTTTTTGAGTACCTGCTATGTACTGTAGGACTGGTTTTAGACACTGATGATCCAGTAGTGAACAAAACCAATAAAGTCCCTGTCCTCTTGGAGGAGAGACATACAATAAATTATACACATATCTAATATAGTATATCATATATATATTTACACATATATGCATATACCTCTGTGTGTGTGTATATGTTTGTGTGTGTATATATGTGTGTGTGTGTGTGTGTGTATATATATATAACATAGGTGTTCATATGGTATGTCAGATGGTGATAAGTACAAACAGAAAAATAAGTCAGGGCATGGGGCATATGGAGTGCCAGAAGGTTTAGAGATAGGAGTTTTAAATATAGTGGCCAGAAGAGACCTCACAGAAAAGGTGACATTTGAACACGTTCTTGAAGGAAATAAGGGAATAAATCATGTGTCTTCATTCAGGCTGCTTTTTCAAAAATACTGTAAACGGAATGGCTTATAAACCAGAAAGATTTATTTCTCACAGTTCTGGAGGCTGAGAAGCCCATGATTATGGCACCAGCAGATTTGGTGTCTGGTGAAGACATGTTTCCTCACAGAGAGCACCTCTGGCTGTGTCCTCACATGGTGGAAGGGGAGGGCTAGTTTTGTGGGATCTCTTTTATAAGGGCACTAATTTCAGTCATGAGGGGTCTGCCCTCATAACCTAATCACCTCCCCAAAAACCCACCTTCTAATACTATCCATCACCCTGGGGGTTAGGATTTAAATGTATTAATTTTGGGGGGACATAAGTGTTCAATCTATAATGCTATGAGTATAACTGGAGGAAGAGCATTCCAGGCAGAAGAATGTAACACCAAGAGTTCTGAGGCAGGATCATGACTCACATATGTGAGGAACAGCATGGCAGCCAGTATGGCTAAAGCAGAGTGGTGATCAATAGAGTGATGAGTGATAGAAAGAAAAGGCAGTGAAGGAAAGCAGATAGTGTGGGGCCTTGTAGATCATTATAAAGACCATTGCTTTTATTCTAATTAACATGGGAAGTCATTGTTGGAGTAGATTGTCCTCCATGGACGTCTTACGCACCTTCATACTTCATTGCTAAGTATGCCAAGAATGCAAGTCCCTGAGCACTCTTTATCCAGACCATTTCTCCGAGTCGTGTTTGTAATGAGCAACCTTGAGGGATGCCTTCTTCCAGAACAAAGAGCAGGCTTGCTTAGTGCTTGCTATAAAATGATGCATTCCATGAACTCATTGTCCCTCTCTTATAATGTACCCCACTGCATATGCACATATTTATTTTGGCCCATTGCCTTGCTGTCAAGGGACCTGGAGAGTATGGAGAACTGATGTTTGCAGCTGATGCTCATGCTGCCTGCTGGGCTCTGAGTAACAAAATCCTTCATGTTGGACCTAGGAGTCTTTTTGTCTTTGCTAGCATCCCTGAAACACTAATAGGCTAATTTATTAACTTCGAAGTAGGGTAATATAAATCTCATACTCTTCACAGTTCTTGACAGCCATTGTAAAATTTTGATCAATAAAATGACATGATTTGCCTCATGTTTTAAAAGGGTCACTCTGGCAACTCTGTGGAGAATAGACCTAGAGGGAGATGGTGGAAACATGAAGACCAGCAAGGAAAGAACTACAATAATTCAGGTGAGAAATGGTGGTAGTTTAGATCAGGGTGGTTTTGTGATGTTGGTAAAAAATAGTCCCTTCTGGATGTAGTTAGTCAAACAGAATTTCTGACAAATTAGATATAATTTGTATAATTTGTGAACGAAAAAGAATAAAGATTGACTACAAGATTTGGTTCAAGAACTTGTATGAATTTTTTCTTAACTGAGATGAAAAAAAGGGGAAGGATTTTATTGGGAGAATGGTAGAAATTAAGCTGCTATTTCTTTACATGTTAAGTTTCAGTTGCATATCAAGCATTTAAATGAGTGTTGAGTTAGCAGTTCAGGTGGAGTTTAGAGTTCAGGGCAGAGGTCAAGCCATGAGATATAAAAGTGTAAGAAGAAAAAATACTTTCATAATCCCTATTTCTAGAGACAGACACTTAACTTGCTGATTTACTTCCTACCAGTCTTTTTATGTAGGTGTATTCTTTGAGCATGGGAATATTCAAAAAATGTATGACCTTAGGTAGAGGCAATGACATTTTATCTCTTAATTTGATTAAAAAGGCATTGCTGAAACTTGAGAATGATGGAGAGTCACTTTTTCATAGTAATAGACATGCAGAATTTTAAATGATCTGGCAGAGTGTCACCTGGAGTTGTGTTGCAGATGTTCTGCCACACAGATTTGGCTGTGTCTACAGGTGCCACTCTGAAGAAGTTGGATGACTTTTTAACTTGGACCAGACTCAGTGATTCAAAACAGTTTCTTGGCCACATCCTTTCCAATTGAAGCTGAAAATGGGCAGATGTGTAAACAACCCTGGACAAAGAGGTAGCATACTTTTTCTACCCTAACCAGCATGTTGACAACTTGTGCCATGTTCATTACCCTGTTGTGGGTTCTCAAGTAAATTCCTTTTAGTAGAATTCAAATCGTGATTGTAAAAATTCAATCTAGAAATTCTAAAACAGCAGTTATTCTGAGCTCCCAATGTGGGTAGAGAAATGATCCATGTGGTCTCTTGACGCTGAGGCCAGCTTTGTTACTACGTGGCTGCTTTGGGCAATGTGGTGTATTGCTGTGTTTCTCAAACTTGAGACAACATCAGACTTCTGGGAGAGCTCATTAAAACACACAAATCCCTAACACCACCTCCAAAGTTTCTGATTCCACAGGCTTGGTGTGGAGCTCAGGGCTATGCATTTCTAACAAGCTCCCAAATGCTGCTGGTACTGCTGCTGGCCTGGTGACCAGCCCTGGAAAGCCACGGGTTTAGTTGTTAAGAACACTGGCCCTGGAGCCAGACTACCCAGGTTCAAATTAAGCCTTCATCCTGGGCAAGTTTCTTAACCTCTCTGTGCCTGGTTTCCAAATAGATAGAATAAGGATAATTATAATATGTATCTCATGAGTTTATTGTGAGGATTAGGTAAATGAATGAATATAAAGTACTTAGAACAGAGGTTGGTGCATAGTGTGTGTGTATATATGTATATATATATATGTTTATATATATGTTTACTGTTCTTATTAATTTTTCTTGAAAGTAGTTACAATGATTCTCAGTTTCTGGAAAAAAAGCCTCATTTTAATGTCTGCAATTTGGGTTAAGGTTTATATAGAGGGCATAATGGGAAATATGAACAAATTGCATGAAACAAGATGAGTGGTAGAAAACTTAAGGAGAAGTCAGCTATATGGACAACCAGTCATAGTCAGGGAAAAAGTTGGGAGAGCAAAGTTCAAGTAGAGACAATTTGCTTCCCTTCCCCACTCCCTAGCTCCCCAGCTCATGTTAACAATGGTAGAACAACACACACACACACACACACACACACACACACACACACACACACACTCTCTCTCTCTCTCCCCCTCTCTCAATCTCTCTCGCTCATGAAATATTCTGCCTTTTGCATCCAAGCTGTTCTCACGGTGATCATTCAGTCATTTCTTCCATAAACTTGCCTTTTATCCTATAGTTGAAGTGACCGGCTTCACTTCAAGATCAGGTTTGTTGATATTTAAGCAGCTTAGAAATTCTTCAGCTATGGTATCCCTGAGGCCTTTGCTCAATCATCCCAAAGCCAAGAAAGCTTCCGCATTGTGTTGTAGTAATTTTTTCAGAATTTAGGATATGAATGCAGTTTTCTGAGCACTACATTACTGTAATATGATTTGAACCCAAATTTAGGTTCCCTGTACAAATCTGTCTGTTACTTCCCCAAATAGAAAACAAAGGGTTGCTCTGATAAGAGCTGTGAACCACAGTGAGGATATGTGGCATGGATAGGCCTGTCTTAACGGGCTCTCCCAATCCCATGGGGCTCCCCATGGCTCATTGCAACTCATGACATAATTCTGGGCAAACTTCAGTGTCCACATTGACCTATCCAGCCCTCTAGGAATTCCTTCAGTCATTCATTTCAAGGACATTTTCTTCACCTCATTTTAGCAACCCACTTTTATGCCAATACTCTGGACCTTCAATTAACTGTAATTGTTTTATCTCTGAAATCTTGAACTTTGACATTCCATCCTTTGATCATAACTTTTGACCCACTTTACTTGCTCTTTCATCTCATTGTAGCTTTGATTGTTATCTGCACTCCCATTTTCTTGGCTCTCTCCTGTCTTTCTCTATCCACCCAGAACTCTCTAGTTAATCATTTTAACCTCCTTCTCAGTAACTCCTCAAGCACTTTCTCACAACTACCGCCAACCCTCAAACCAGGGCCCACAGAACAACCCTTTCTCCCTGGATTGCCACGTGCTGAAGAAAGCACACAAGTGAGTTAATTAGTGTCATCACACATTTGTGATTTACAGTTATGGCTGAGCCCTTGACAGTGAATAAACAGGTGCATGGACTTCAGTCACTCATGTGAGTTGCTCCACATCGTGTGCCACAGGAGAGTAGCAGCAGGACTTCCTTTATTTAATGATGGCTAATACTTCTCCAGAGGAGAATTCTAGAAAAGCAGCTAATGGAACAATAAAATTAGTCACACGAGCCATGATATTTTTGGACAATTCAATAAAGCTCACTGTTTTCATTGCCAGACTTTCCCCTGCTACCACACAGGAATGTGACAGCTGGCTTTCTGGACCCTGATCAGAGAACTGTAGCCTTCTCTAGTTCCTTATGTCATTGTTGCTTCTTTTGAGCAACAGGATCCTACTTACAAAGCTACTTAGAAATCAAGTAATCATTTTACTGTAGGTATGAGGCTTCTCAGGGCCCGAATTGCCTACCAGTGGTAAAGGGCTCAGTAAGGTTACAGATTACTGCCACCTTGGTGTTTCTGATCATTTACCCACACCTCAACTCTCCGCAACCTGTATTCTTGATTGTTTTCCAGATGCAGTGCCCAAACGATAGTTAGAATCCTATCTTTAGGACCCCCTTCACTGAGGAATCTTGGAGGAATTGTGGTTCCTTCCCTAGGTGACCAACCATTCTCATTTTCCCAGAATTGAGGAGTTTTCCAGGATGCAGAACTCTCAGTGCTAAAACCTGGGGAATCCTGGGAAAACCAGGATGATTAAGTCACCTTGTTTATGGCTCCTTCCATGTTACCCCTAAACTTGCTTACATCAGAAAAATATCACTTAACAGCCTTGAGAAGCAGCATTCTCCAGAGGCTACTTGTAAGTCA
Source organism: Homo sapiens (assembly GCF_000001405.40). Lineage (NCBI taxonomy): Eukaryota > Metazoa > Chordata > Mammalia > Primates > Hominidae > Homo > Homo sapiens. The sequence continues at coordinate 50,736 of NW_003315913.1, forward strand.
GCCAGTTCTCAATTACAGCAGTTAATTCTAAACTAAGTCTTTTTATGTACTTAATAAAAATTATAAAAATAGTTCTTAGTTTAATACTCAGATGTGTAGTTGCAAATACTCTCACCAAATGTTTTACTTCCTTTATGCTGGGAGTAGCCCCCTATTTAGGAGGTTGGTGTATGTACACAACAAAACCTTTCTAAGGCACAGGCTGTCCATTCTCTCCCCTTTTTCCCACTCCACCCCACCCTGCTTTCCCTCTGCTCATCTTCGTCAGCTGAGAGGCCCACTGAGAAAAAAAACAAAATGGCGGGTCAGCAAGGTTGCTTCTTTGGCTCTGTTCCACCATTTTGCAATGTCAATCTGTGACTCTTTTTGTCTTCATGGCTTGCCCATGCCCTTATAGCTTATTTTCCTAATCAAAGAATTGTTGGATATGCCATATGGGGCCATGACGCTCCTTTTGGGAGAGAAATGTATCTTTCTTCCAGTCTGATGTAGCATCTATTTTCTTTCGTGGTCCTTCACTATTCAGCAGGTGTGTGTCCCAAGACAGACATAGAAAACATGGTCATTTCTCTAAATTACTGAAGATGGTGTTCCCTCCCCTATAAAAAAAAATTATTTTGATGTTTTCAGTGGGCCCCAAGGAAAAGAGTAGAGAAAAACCACCTTTATTTACTGTGTTCACTAGAATTGTTACTTTGGGGAAAAATATCAATTACACATTTCTCTATTTCCTCATGAATATTTATTCTTTCTCTTCTCTTGGGCACAGGTAGTGTATTGGGAACCCACACAGGGATTGGCTTCTTAAGGACTCTGGGCTCACACCTCAACCTGACAATCTGGGGATCAACTAAGCACAGCTTCCATCTATTTCCTTTCATCACTGTCATCATTCTGCCACTTCCTTTTTCCCATAGGAAAAAAAGGGCATAAAATTTTATGAAAATATAAATGACAGTTTAAAATTATTTAAACATCAGTGGAGAGTTTTGAAAAATTTTTAGTGTTTTTTTTTTTTCTTTGAGATGAAGTCTTGCTCTTGTCCCCCAGGCTAGAGTGCAATGGCATGATCTTGGCTCACTGCAACCTCTGCCTCCTGTGTTCTAGTGATTCTCCTGCCTCAGCCTCCCAAGTAGCTGGGATTACAGGCACCCGCCACCACGCCCTGCTAATTTTTGTATTGTTAGTAGAGATGGGGTTTCACCATGTTGGCCAGGCTGGTCTCGCACTCCTGACCTCAGGTGATCTACCTGCCTCAGCCTCCTGAAGTGCTGGAATTATAGGCGGGAGCCACTGCGCCTGGCCTTTAGTGGTCTTACATTAAACATTTTCCCCACCACTTAAAAAAAAAGACAGATGAGAAATCCAAGTTTCTCTTTACCCTAATGAAAACATTTTGTGGAAAATCAGTAAAATTTTTCTGTATTTAAGAAAGTTAAGAGATGGCATTCTCTCTCTTTTAGAGACTTAAAATTTCCATTTAAAGAAGATTGTGATAATTTCTACTTGTTTCTTTGTGATTGCCAAATAAATTTTTTGTAAAAAAGCCTTCTTTCTATGTAGCTGAATATACATCTTGGATTTAATTAAGTTGTTATAATTTAAAAATCGAATTTGTCCCTTAGAAGTCTGAATTTTACAGGTCTAAACACTAGCTTCCTAAATGTCAACTACTACTGCACATTTATTACTGCATGATGTAGTAGTAATTCTCTTTCGAGCTTTCAAAGGCTCAACTCTGCTCTGTAACTAATGAGACCTAAACCCAGTGTTTCATGCTGCATTATCAAAACTGAAGGTTGATTTTATTTGATGGGGAAAAAACAAATGAGGAAAACTTTGTAAGACTAGTCTAACTCTGAGACTGCAAACTTAGCAAACCTAGTGACATTGAAAATAAGAGTAAAATCATATCTTTTCCTCAAAATTACTTATCATCAAAAAATTTTTCTATGCTATGTTTAATATATTTAACCCTTTTTGAGTGCATTCCAGGAAATAGAAATGAAAGGTGAAATGCAGAGCCCTTCCTTTAAGGAGCTCAATACATTATTTCCTATGTGACAATGGCCACTCAGTGCTCTGAAGTTTTTGGAATACTCTTCAACTCAGTTGTCCCCATAAGTTCAACCATAATTTGGAAAATATGATCACTGGATTTATGATAGACATACAGCTTTTCATGTGAAAAATAATCAAAACTCCAACTCATTACTTGACACTTTGCAGAGGGCTGTCTTCTTGTTGTATCCTCACATGGTGGAGAGCAAACAATGAGGGCAAACTCTCATGTCTCTTTTTTTAAGGGCACACTAATCTCATTCACGAGGGCTCCATCCTCAACACTTAATCACCTCCCAAAGGTCTCACCTTCTCGTGCCATCACATTGGGAGTTGGGATTTCAACATATAAATTTTTCATTGGGGGGGAAACATTCAGTCCATAATAATATAAAGCTCTTAGATCTGGGATACGGTGAGTCATCAATAAACTATTAGCTTGTATACCAAAATGCCTAGGCTGCATCTTTGCCAGTTTATATCAAAGCATCTTAAAATTCTTACTGTTCTTCTACCCTTTTGTGTTTTACTCTTTTCCATATCAGGAAAGCACCAACCTCCATGTACTTATTCAAACCAGAAGCCAAGGATAATCCTTTAGCAGTGTTGATCATAATCCTGAAAATGGGGAGAAGTAAAAGACATAGAGCTCATTTGGGGAACATTTCAAGTCAAGTGAGAGAGAATTATGACCAAGGGACAGTTGAAATGAAGGTAAGTTGTTTGGCATACAATTAGAGGTAGAATCAACAGGATTTTGGAAAGGGAAAGGAAAGAATTTTGGACTTAAGGTATAATAGATAAGGTATTAAAAATCAAGACAGGCCAGGTGTGGTAGCTCACACCTGTAGTCCCAGCACTTTGGGAGGCCGAGACGGGCAGATCACTTGATCACTTGAGATCAGGAGTTCAAGACCAGCCTGGTCAAGATGATGTAACTGCTTATCTACTAAAAATACAAAAATTAGCCAGGCATGGTGGTTGGCGCCTGTAATTCCAGCTACTTGGGAGGCTGAGGCAGAAGAATCGCTTGAACTCAGGAGGCGGAGGTTGCAGTGAGCTGAGATTACACCACTGCACTCCAGACTGGGCAATAGAGCGAGACTCAGCCTCAAAAAAAAAAAAAAAAAAAAAAAACCAAGACAGAGAAAATAGATTAGGAAGTAAATTATGGGTAAATTAAATGTTTGGGGGACCTACTGAGTTTACAGTATTTGTGATACATCCAGTAAGCCGTTAGACAAGTCAGATTGTTGGAGTGAAGTGGGCTAGAAATACTGGCGTCAAAATCCTATGTACGTAACCAGTGGTTAAAAGACATGAATAAATGATATTGATGAGGAAACCGGAGTAAAAAGAAAAGTGAACTAAATGTAGGACTCAGGAGAAGATTAGTGCCTAAACCCTATCCTAGTTAAAGAATATCGGAAAGATAAAAAATAGGGCATTTAATGGTATAAATCAGTTTTCTTTTTATAAAGATATAATCCCAAAGTCATCTTGTAGTTGAGCAGATAATACAAATATAGCATAATTTTCAAATTCAAGAGGTACTTTATTTTATCAGATGGAAAATATGACTTTGATTTTTTTTTTTTTTGAGACAGAGTCTCGCTCTGTCACCCAGACTGGAGTGCAGTGGCACGATCTCAGCTCACTGCAACCTCTACCTCCTGGGTTCAAGCAATTCTCTGCCTCAGCCTCCTGAGTAGCTGGGATTACAGGCACCCAACACCATGCCTGGCTAATTTTTGTATTTTTAGTAGAGATGGGGTTTCACCATCTTGGCCAGGCTGGTCTTGAACTCCTGACATCGTGATCCACCCACCTTGGGCTCCCAAAGTGGACTTTGATATTTTTGAGAACTATAAAAATATCTTTTAATACAACCTTTCCTGAAGAGGCATTATTTTGTGTCTACCTCCTTGAGAAATCTCACATGCCCAGAAAAATCAGTATTTAATTCCCAATTTTTGGTAATATTATTATGCAATATAATTGGCAAATTCTTTGCAGTAGCTTGGGTAAAATTTCCCTTACATAAGCAAATAACTCTTAAAAATTTACTGGCAATGGTTTTTAAACATATGTTAAGAATTAGCATTTATTTCTTTTCTGTTTTTTCTCCCCCCTTTTAACAAGTAGTCTAGTAATAATGGTATTGTTTCAACAACTTTAAAAACAAATGGGAAATAAAAATTTAAAGCCATTAAGAGACTTCATATAATTTTGCGTATCATTTTGGAATGTGGAAGACATCAAGGCAGGTTTGGAGAACAGGATCTGAAACTGGCTATCCCCTTAATGGGAGACATCTGTCCCATCCACAGATGTAGGGCAAAAGTCAAGTTCACTAGGTGGACAGAGGCACAAGTAGGCAAAAACTCCAGAGCATTAAAGGCCCAGTCACAAATAGCATTGACAAAAAGCAAAAATGAAGATTGAGTTGTATTATATGTATATTACCCTATATATATTAATTGTTCTTCATTTCTTTTATGTTTTTTGATATATGTGGAAAAGCAGAGGCATTTAAAAGTGGGATTCATTCATTCATTTCTTCATTTACTATTTACCTAGGTACATAATATTAATTGAATAGCCTGTTTAAAGGCACTTGGGATATTAAGATGAATGCCAAAATATCTGCTTTTAAGAGACGACATACAAAATATTTTTTGTAGATTCCTACTCTTTCTTAAATCCAAATAGAAACTAAAATTTAAAAAGTGAAATAATCCTAGATACAGAAAGTATCTAGGACTATATAACAGACACTTAAGTGCTTACCTCTCAGAATGTACAAAAAATATCATTGTACTGTATTTGTTGCAGGTTGTTCTGCTTAAATACAATAAAGATTCAGTATGACCTTTCCTATCCCATTTTCCTCCCTCCATCCCCAGAGACTGGCACTGTCTTGAAGTTGGTGTATATCCCTCTAGTCCATGTTTTTATACTTTTACACTCATATGCATGTGCCCATAAAGAATACACAAGGTCTTTTGTTTTGTTTTGCATTTGTAAGCTGTAGAAAGATAGTATTACATTATACACATCTTCTTTGATACTTGTGTTTTCACTCTCAACAGTCCATAATTTCAACACATAATCAGTTCATTTGTTTTCTCTATTATTTAGTGTTCTGTTATAGTCATGTAACATAACTGATTTTGTCATTCATTCTCAGTTAGACATTTACTTTGTTTCTAGTTTTTGTTTATTATGAACTTGACCACATAGATATCCCATACATGTCTTCTTATAGAGACAAGAAAATTTCTAAGATTTATACTGAGAAGTGGATTTTTTGGGTTTCAGACTACATTCGGTGTCAAGAGTACTAGATATCATAAAAAACATTGTCACAGAAGTGGCTGAGAGTTCCTGTTTCCCAGTTACCTCTCTATACTTGCTGTTATCACATTTTAAAATTTTGGCTTATCTATTGCTAAGCCAAAGTGTCTGGTTATTTTATTTCTCATTTATCTGATTAATAATGATTTTATACATATTTGTACAAATTTGCATATGTTTATTAGCATTTCAGTTTTGTCTCCTTTTTGTAGACTGTCTTAAAGAATATTAGGAGTTCCATATGTATTTCCAATACTATTCTTGTTGCATGCTATGTGTATTGCAAAAATCTTCTCTCAGTCCATAATATATGTTTGAATTTGGATAAAGGCTATAAGAGGAGTTTGATAAACCAAAAAATAAATGATTCCAAGGTATTTTGGCCTGAGAAATCATCCATTGTCAGGGGTGAAGAGAGAGCCTGATATATCCACCAACTAGTCCCTATTCCCTCTGTTCACAGAGTCTCCAAAACTATCTGCCTTGAGTCCACTAAGACTAATCTCATTATGCCTCTTATTATTGTTTTTGTCAGTTATCACAAGAAGCACCAGATACCAGGGTCAGTCTTTATTTTCACACCGTGCCAAGCTCTGCAGATCCCCTATTCTCTATTGTCCACCTTCCCAACCCTGAAGTCTTTACACTTTGCTCTTTGGAATTGATGGTTCATCATTAGCAAGATTCATAGCCTCAAACATTTTGGGAAGCCCCACTCACCTCCTCTGGATCTTACCTCAATCTCACTAATTCCTGTATGCCCCCTGAAGTCGTGGCTGTTGGAGTCCTCTCACAACCCTGGCATTAGCATCTTTCTTATTTTCCTCTGAACTTTCTATGTGTTCAAGTCTGCTTTTGGTCTCTCGGTAGCACTGTAAAGTTTTCTACAAATATTTCTTCAATTTATTCCTTGATATTTTATATCATAATGTAATATAAATTTTATAGTCTATTTAATTCTAATTTTCACACTTTCTTGTTTGAAATATAAGGTCCATTGATTTGTGTATAGTTATTTTGTATCCTGCCACCATACTTAATTCTTTTATTTTTTGAAATAGTTTTTCAGCTTTTCTGTTGAGTTGAAGTCTCATGAAGATGAAAGTCTAGGCCCCCCACTTGGCCATGGATAGGTGTGGACCACAGTTTGTTTGCTCTGTTGGTACCTCTTGACTTTTCTACATTGCTGGCTTTTTCAGATCCAAGTGTGGGATATATGAGACAAAAAGAAAACTCAGGGGACTCACCACCATGTTGTTCCTCAGGTCTTTAGCTCCCTAGCTGGTCTGCTGCCTTCTTTACCACCTTTATTATGTTCATTTTACATATAGCATTCAGAATTTTTTGGCCAGGCATGGTGGCTCACGCCTGTAATCCCAGCACTTTGGGAGGCTGAGGCAGGTAGATCATGAGGTCAAGAGATTGAGACCATCTGGGCCAACATGGTGAAACCCTGTGATTACTAAAAATACAAAAAATTAGCCAGGCGTGGTGGCACATGCCTGTAGTCACAGCTACTAGGGAGGCTGAGGCAGGAGAATCACTTGAATGAGGGAGGCAGAGGTTGCAGTGAGCCAAGACTGTGCCACTGCACTCCAGCCTGGCGACAGAGCAAGACTCCATCTCAAAAAACAAACAAACAAACAAAACAAAACAAAACATTCAGAATTTTAATTTATACTGAATGAAAGAAATAGGGTAAAGTATCCATTCTTTTAGTTTTAACCTCTTTGAATTACTTTGCTTTCAAATTGCCTTTTCTTTAATGCGTATATTTGGGTCTTGTTTTGTTAACCAAATTGAAAATTGATTTCTTTAAATGGGAAGTTGAGCATATTCACATTTATCGATATAACTAATATGCTTTGTCCTGATACTTTGTAATTATGTGTATTTTGTATTTGTTTTTTTCTGTATGAGATGTACATTCTTTGTGCTATTTATTATTTGTACAGTCTAGGAAGGTTTGTGTTTTTATTCTAGTGGTTACCTTTGTATTTATTATTTTTATAAGTGTATTTAGTCTATTTTCTTATCTGCCCTTTAACTATCTGGTTGATACCATTTTTTTCCCCAGTATCCTTTAGTGCGCATATGTTGCTTATATAGCACCAAGCTTTTCCTATTTTTCTCTTTCCTTAGTTGTTGTACTTGGTTGTTTTTTAGTTGCTTAATTTCTACTTTTCACAGGATATAATATTTATACCTTAATTTTCTACCCTTATCCTACATTTTTTTCAGTCTTATGTGTACATTTATATATTTTAAAATGCAGCTGGGTGTGGTGGTTCATGCCTGTAAGGCTAGTACTTTGGGAGGCTAAAGAGGGAGGATTGCTTGAGGCCAGGAGTTTGAGACCAGCCTTGGCAACATAGCAAGAACCTGTCTCTACAAAAATGTTTTTTAATTAACCAGGCTTGGTGGCTTATGCCTGTAGTCCCAGCTACTTGGGAGACTGAGGTGGGAGGATCCCTTGAGCCCAGGAGTTCAAGGCTGCAGTGAGCTATGATTGTGCCACTACACTCCAACCTGGGCAATAGAGCAAGATTCTGTCTAAAAAAAAAAAAAAAAAAAAGCTCATTATCAGTTCTTCTAGTAGAGCTTTCCCAGTCATCACTTATGTGAAGTTCATGCTCTAGCAAATTCCTCAAGAAGGGATGCCATGTGTAGAATCTCCTATGTTCTTGTATGTTGAAAATATTTCTACTATTCTTGCTATTTGAAGAACAACTTGATTGGACATAAAATCCTTGTTTCACATTTTCTTTCATTGAGTATTTTTATAAAGATTGATTCATAGTTGTCTTGTTTGGTATTTGGTTTTGAAAAGTGTAATGGCATTCTAATTCTTTTGACTTTTTAAGTTATTTTAGATTTTTGCTTGGTGGTCTTGAGAGTCTTGTCTTTATTTTTGAAATATAATAATTTTACTAAAATAATGTCAAAGAGTTAATCATTTTGGGTTAATTTTTGCCAGGTACCAGGAGAAACTTTTCAACGTGTAGATTCAGATGATTTTTTTTTCTGGAAATTTTTCTTGGACCATAATTTATTGCTTAGTGTAGTAACCGATAGGTGGCCTTCTAACCCATGCTCCCCTCACACCCTCCCCACCTAAGGTAGTCCCTACTGGCCCTTGTTCCCATCTTTGTTTTCAATGTTTAGCTCCCGCTTATGAGTGAGAACATTCAGTATTTGGTTTTCTGTTCCTGAATTAATTTGCTTAGGATAATGGCCTCCAGCTGCATCCACGTTGCTGCAAAGGATGCAAGATTTCATTCTTTTTTAATGGCTGTGTACTATTGATGAATATGTACAACATTTTCTTTATCCAGTCCACCATTGGTGGGCATCTTCGTTGATTCCATATCTTAGTTATTGTAAATAGTGCTGTGAGGAAAGCTCCTAGAGCTGATAAACAACTTCAGTAAGGTTTCAGGATACAAAATCAACGTACAAAAATCAGCAACATTTCCAAACACCCATAAGGTCCAAGCTGAGAGTCAAATCAACAAGTGCTATTCTTTAGAGCCTTTGGGAACCTGCAATTCATTCTCTTCAGAAAGGGCAGGACATTTCTATGTGTGTGTAGAGCACCTTTCCACATTTTCCAGTATTTCTTCTTTTATTCTTGTAAGCAGTAAAGGCTCCCTGTAAGCGATCATCACAATTATCAGGGAAGCTAATTTGGTATAGGCAAAGGTAAGAAAATGTAACACACTGACTCTTTTCCTGAGGTTTATAACACCTAAGAAAAGATAAGGTTCATGAACTATCTTGGTTTCTTCTCTTTTTGCAAGAATGTAGTATATTAATTTGAAAAAAATCCAGAGTAATTCCACGACCAATTTTCTCCATGTTGTCAGTTATAAATGAATCAGTCAACTAGTCCCTTCTTGATGAATCATGTTGTTTTCTTGGCTTTTGGGACCCCACCCTCTCCTGGCTCCCCTTCCTGCCACTCCCTCTCATCCCCTATACTGGGTCCTCTTCATCTGTTTATTCTTTAAATGTTGGACCTGCCCAAAACAGGTCCTAGGAGCCTTCTCTCTCTCTGTCAGACATTTATCTCATGACTTCATGTAATTATCCATATATCAATGAATTCTAAACTTAACATTTTCTACTCTGATCTTTCACCTGAACTCTAGACATGTGCATTCTGTTCCCTATCTAGCATATCCATTCTATTAAGTATCTCAAATTCAACATGTCTGAAACAGGTATTTTCCTCCTTTCTGCTACTCCACCCAGTAGCACCACTCTAGCAGCTTACCCCTTCCAGTATTTCCCACTTACCCAGTGTTGTTCAAGCCAAAAATATTGAAGCCTTTCTAGTCTTTCAGTCTTTTTTCAGAGATATGGATTTTAAGATGTGTCTGACTACCAAATTGACAGAGTGAACTTGTGATGGTTAATTGTATGCCAGCTTGGCTAGGCCATGATACCCAGATACTTGGTCAAACATCAGTCTAGATGTTGCTGTGAAGGTATATTATTCAGATGAGATTAACATTTAAATTGGTAGACTTTGAGTAAAGCAGATTATCTTTCGTAACGTGACTGAGCCTCATCTAATCAATTGAAGGCTTTAAGAGGAAAATAGATTGAGGTGTCCTGAAGAAGAGGGAATTTCTGCCTCAGACAACCTTCAGACTCAAGATTGTAACACCAGCTCTTCCCTGGGTCTCCGGCCTGCTGGCCTGTCCCACAAATTTTGAATTGCCAGCCCCTACAATTACAGGAACTAATTCCTTAAAATTAATCCATCAGTCTCTCTCTCTCTTACTCTGCAGACACACACACACACACACACACACACACACAATTGGTTCTTTTTCTTTGGAGAATCCCAATATGGATTTTAGCAGGTTGGTGGGACTGCCCATTCTCTCTACTCCTCCTGGCACTAGAGATTTCAGGTCAATGGATATCTCACTGAGGGTTGGTGGTTGATAGAAATTTCAGCCCTGACACCACTTGCACTTCACTCATTGTTCTTGGGGAAAAACATTTTCCTTGTTATCTTTCTGGTTGTTTTTGTCGTTGTTGATTTTTTTTTTCTTTTCTTTTTGGGTCATTCTGCTACCTCCTTTTTCCTCTCATATAGTCCCAGTTGTTTATGTATTCTTAAAAACTCGCACTGTTAGTATGCTTCTGAAATTTCTTAGTTTCTTTTTGAAGTCTATGTTTTTGCTTCTATGTGAACTAAAAAAAAGTAAGAATAAGATGATAGAATAAAAAAGAACAAGTCCTGGGTTGCCAGAGACAAACCAGGGAAAAAGGAAATAAATATGAAAACACAAAAGATGTAACTCCTTCACAGTTGTAAACATATAGCAAAATAATAATTATGCCCAAAATACGTCCAAAGTCTTATTTTTAAGTTCTCATAAAGTTGATCGTAGTTATTAATCAAATTGCTGCTGTGAAGTATTGCTGTTGGGAAATATTTTTTACTATCTCCCTCTGTGTGTTGGTCTTCAGCAGTTTGAAGCTCATTTGGTGCTATGTTCAAATAAACTTGAGAAGAAAGATTCCTTCCTGGGAACTTATGAATCTGTCCTGGGACTTGTTTTGACTGAATTAACTTAGATCATGTGTTGGTCTTTTAGCCAATACTAAGTCTAGACTGGTAGCAGCAGCCCAGAGTGGAGCCTTACTTGAACTAGCTGGACTGAGAGTGAAGGAGAAATAAGTATCCCGGTGAAATTTGGGATGCCATTCTCAGAAGAGAGAAGGAAAGGATCGATCGTTATGGGAAGATAACACACACACATACACGCACACACACGTATAAATATAATAACTTACTAAATGGTGTTCTCTGGGTATTTCCAACTTTCTGATGAAGATAATCATATTTTTGAAGGTATAACGCTTTCATTTTTCTTTTATATTTCTTGTAACATTTAGCATATGTTAACCTTACCCTAGACTCTCAATATATAGAACACTTTTCTATAGTTTTTAATACATAGATTTAGTATCTCAAGTAATTATTTATTGTGAAATGTTTAATAGTCTAATCCAAACTGCAGCTTATGGAAAGAAGTAAATGCTGATCACATTGCTGTGAACGTTTGTGACTAAAATATTCCTTAGTTTGTTATCTATATGATTCTGTCCATCTACCCATTAAACAAAGTGAAAGGGTATCTATCTAGTGTAGAATTTTTCGACTTCAACGTGCTTATGACTTACCTGAATTATCTGGGATCTTGTTTAAATGTAGAATCTGATTCAGCAGATCTGGGATGCTCTGTAATCTGGATTTCTACTAGGCAATGCCTATCCTACTAGTTTGAGGACCACACTTTGAGTAGCAAAGTCAAGGTGCCATATGCCTCAAACTTTTATTGTGCAATTAAAATGGTCACTCATGGCTGGGCGCGATGGCTCACGCCCGTAATCCCAGCACTTTGGGAGGCTGAGGCAGGCAGAAAACCTGAGGTCAGGAGTTCAAGACCAGCCTGGCCAACATGGTGAATGGACCCTGTAATATCTATTGTTCTTCCAGGTACGAGACTAGATAATTAAGAGAGTCTTAGAAAGATTTTCAATATCAATGTTGATCAGAGAACTTCAGTGTCTGAAAGTCTTCTGTGTCCACTCTGATTGAAGAGTACAACAGCCTTGGACCCAGGCATCCTAGGTTAAAATCTAGTGCTGTGTCTGTAAGTTTTGCATGTATCATTAAGTTTTATATGCAATTCTAAGGATAATCTAACAGTGTGAGAGAAGACGGCTTTCATCATCCTTGTGTTCACAGTGGACAATATACCCTTCTAATATGGTGAATTAATATTTTTATAAATCTTCTAATCATCTTGGGAATAGCAAAATTATATTAAAAATTTGGTGTTAGATTTAAACATTTGTATATAATTCAGTTTTCATAGACTTGTTTGGGCAGGTCTTCATGTTTCAAAATTTTGGCAGACTCAAAAAAAGGAAACAGGCTGTGTCTCAAATTTTGAGAGGTTCTGCCTAAAATGCAGTTGCTATATATTTATCCTTTTTTTCCTTTTTGTGCAGATAGGGTCTTGCTGTGTTGCCCAGCTGGTCTTGAACTCCTGGGCTCAAGCAGTCCTCCTGTGTGTGGGGATTATATGTATGAGTCACTATGCCCAGCCATATTTATTTTTAATAATATACATTGACTGGCTGTAGTCACCCACACCTGTAATCCCAGCACTTTGGGAGGTTGAGGTGGGTGGATCACCTGAGGTCAGCAGTTTGAGACCAGCTTGGCCAACATAGCGAAACCCTGGGTGTGGTGGCATGTGTCTGTAATCCCAGCTACTTGGGAGGCTGAGGCAGGAGAATGGCTTGAACTCTGGAGGCGGACGTTGCAGTGAGCCCAGATTGCACCACTGCACTCCAGCCTGGGCGACAGAGTGAGACTCCATCTCCTAATAATAATAATGATAATAATACACATATACCAATGTAGCTAGTAGCACTTCTACTTTTTTTTACTTTAATCTTTGACTTGGCTTTCCCATTGAAGTAAATAAGATTGAATAATGAAAGTTATGCTTAGAGAGGGAGTTTCTCAGCTCTAAATCAAATTCTTCATAACTAGGAGATAGCAAGTAAAGTGTTACTTTGAAATGATATAACAATTCTAAGAGAAAAATACAAGCTCATGAAAGAGACTTAAAGTTTCTAAATTACCAAATCTCTCTTAAAAGTGGAAATAATGTGATGTAAGTGTAAATGAATCAATGACATTTGGACTTGATTTCACTTAAATTGCATGTGATTGCCCAGAAATGAAATTTTGCCTAGAATAATATTTTGAATTTTTGTAATAACTTTTGGACTTATGCCTAAGAATTATGCACATATCTTTAGTGATCATATTTGAAGAATAGAGTTTACTTCCTGATGTTTTCAAAATTATAAATTTAAGGTCACTTTGAGCATAAACTTGTAAAGATTAACTTGGGAAAAATGTGTATACATTTACTCAACTGGCAGATCAAACATAAATATTAGTTAAGGAAATGTCTTTTTTTTTTTTTTGAGACGGAATCTCGTCGCTGTGTCGCCCAGGCTGGAGTGCAGTGGCGCGATCTCTGCTCACTGCAACCTCCGCCTCCCGGGTTCACGCCATTCGCCTGCCTCAGCCTCTAGAGTAGCTGGGATTACAAGTGCCCGCCACCACGCCCAGCTAATTTTTTTTTTTGTATTTTTAGTAGAGACGGGGTTTCACCGTGTTAGACAGGATGGTCTGGATCTCCTGACCTTGTGATCCGCCCGCCTCGGCCTCCTAAAGTGCTGGGATTACAGGCGTGAGCCACCGCGCCCGGCCAAGGAAATTTCATCTTAAAAAGCACTGCCTGTTATCTGATTTAGCAGGTTATTTTTCACGAGTTAATTGTTATCTTTAAAATTAGCTTTCTTAAAACTAAGAGCTAATAATATATAGTTGTTATATGAAAATGTTTTTATTGGAAAGAAGAAAACCTGATCACTTGGGTCTCTTCCTGTCTTCCACAAGATAACCATTATCAATAATTTGATTAACATTTTTTCTATACACTGAGATTCTGTAAATATATTTTTATTCAGATTATTTTCACTTAACTTTTTAACCTAAACATTTTCCATGTTACTAAACATTTTTTGATGATAGTTGCTTTGTAGATGGCTATATAAAATTGTGTCCTGTAGTTGTATCATATTTTATTTTGGCAGTCTCTACTATTGAATTGTTTCCAATTTTATCATTTTATAAATATGGCTATGAAAAATATTGTGCACTGTAATATTTTTGTATATAAAAACCTTCTCTGTATTTAGAAGACCCAGAAGAACATTTAAATTACTGGATCAAAGAATAAAATATTAATCAATTTCTTGATTCAAGCAATCATTTTTTTCCCCAATTAATTACACTCCTATTAGCAGTGATTCTTAAATTAAAACAAGTCTTTATGACAGGCAAAATGCTTTATCTCATTATTTTAATTTTTGTTTATAAATCTGAGATCTTAAAAATTTTTATTTGCAGGCACTCAGAAGCAATTAACTCTTATTTTTATATTTTCTCTCTTATATTTAAAAAAGTTCTCAAAGATAAAGAACGAAACTGAACTTTCTTGGTTAGGCTGTAGGGAAGAAGAGATCTATGAATTTGTGTGTGTGTGTGTGTGTGTGTGTGTGTGTGTGTGAGACAGGGTCTTGCTCTCTCACCCAGGCTGGATTGCAGTGGCGCGATCTTGGCTCACTGCAGCCTCCGCCTCCTGAGTTCAAGCGATTCTCATGCCTGAGCCTCCAGAGTAGCTGGGATCACAGGCACACGTCATCACGCCTGGCTAATTTTTGTATTTTTGGTAGAGAAGGGGTTTCGTCAGGTTGGCCAGGCTGGTCTCCAACTCCTGACCTCAAGTGATCCGCCCACCTCAGCCTCCCAAAGTGCTGGGATTATATGCATGAGCCACTGTGCCCAGCCAGATCTATGAATATTTAATGTGTCTTCTTTTATTTAGATCTTCTTTAATTCCTTTCAATAATGTTTTGTAATTTTCAGAGAATATGTTTCATATTCCTTTTGTTACTAGTGTGCAGAAATACCATTGCTTTTTATATATTTGTCTTGCACATTCATAATGAAGTTCAACATGTACCTCTGTCTTCTGTATTTGCTGCAAATTGGTAGCAGGCTTAAATGTCTTGCAGCCTCAGGTTGTCAATTTGTTCAGACTGGAGGGTATTGTGTTCTTTCATCAGATCACCATACTATTTAGTTTTGTTCCTTTTTGTTAGCAGTTATTGATGCTCAGTGCCTTGACCCATTAACTTCAGTTGGGGTTGAAAATGGTGATATTCTAATTGTATTATGTCTTTTTTATTTTTTAGGTGTAATGATGCTATAAAGAGCCTTTTCCTCTCATCTACTAGGTTGCCCAGTGGTACAGTTCATGTGAAAAAGTCAGGATAGACTCTTGAGTCTTTACCTTTATAAACAATTTTCAGTATAATGAATTGCTAGCTTAAAGATGACTACTTTGTTGGTTTACTTTTAAATACCATTATGAACCCATTGATTTAAACATTTTTCATAGGCTTTGATCTGTTGCAATTCTTCACCATATTAAAGCTTAAGCTGTTTCATCTTTAATCAGTGTGAACCTCTTTAAGTTGGCTCCTGAGTCTTTTTGACATAACCCTTGTAGTATTTAATATTTTCCTTACTGTCTAGTAAGACAAGGTGTTCTAGGCTCAACTAATACATTACTTGGATTGGAAACAGCCATTTTTCAAGAACTTATGGTTTTGAAATGATATTTCAAGATCACAGTTAAGATACCAGGGATGTTCATTTGTTCATGAGTTAGTTAAATCACTTTTAGACTTTTTAAGTTGACAAAGCTAGAAAGTTTTATGTGTGGGCACACACAGAGTTATATTTAAGGATTAAATACATTATACTTTTATAACAGCTTTTTTTTTTCTTGAGAGCAGAACAGTTAACACTATTTATTTCCTATGATGAAGTTCTGTTGAGATCATCTGAGCATCCTCTGACCCCCTGTTTTTATTCATGCTCCTGAAAGTCCCATATTAAGATTTTTCTTGGGTTCCCAACTAGCCTAAACTGAAAGTATAAAATCATAAAGATAGATGTTTGCAAGTTTTGCTATTTGTATAACAGCAAAACAACATTTACTTAAATTAGAATTTAATTAAGACTACTACAAGTTAAGATTACGATTGTTTAAAGTCCAGATACTTTGAGATAAACTCACTTTATTACAGAATATTTACCTGTTTTGTTCAAAGGAATCCAGCTTTGTTTGTATCCTATAGGGTCCCTCTGATTTAGGGGTGTCTTACAAACAGCTATGAAACTTTGAAAACACTACTTTATCAATGTACAATAATGTAACATACAAAGAAATTGGATAATTTGGGGGGCCACAGAGATTATTACTTTCTACCTAGTACATAGTTTTTGCTTTTGTAAGTAAAGCTCTTTTGGTGAAAGATAGTTTGGCTTAGGCCTATCTCAAAATCATGAGATATTTAACCTGGGTTTATTTTTCTGTTTTGGAGTTGTGTGTTTATTCAAAAGATGGTTTATGAAATAAAGCCATTTGTTTCCAATTGTGCAAGTCTTAATCCTGTAATTAATAACAGATTTTTTTTCAAAAAAGAAAAGAAACCATTCTCTTTTGCATTAAAACTTTTTGGGTAGCCTTTCAAATATTTTGGTGCCATTTAAATATTCTCTATTAAAACAAGTCACATTAAAAGGGCTTTTCTGCAGAATAACCATCCTTTCAACAAATCTATGGTTAAGATCCCACTCCCTCATTGTTTTCTCCTAAGGAATAGAATGTTGTTTATATCCTAAAAATTACCATGAAATGGTGATATATGTACCTTAATTTCTGACACAACCTAGGTTATTCTGAATGATTTGCCGGAACTTCCAGGGATATTTTTTATATTAAAATATATACTTGTGGTGTTGCAGATAGGCAGGAATCTAAATGTATAGGGCATGCCCAACTGCATCAGACAAATCAGTTATGTTTTTCTCCTGTTTTTCTTTTCAACCTCAGCAGTTAAAAAAATTATGGTAAAGATGTTTTTAAGAGAAAGTATGGCTAGTCAACAAAGTATACAGCCTGTAAATAGCAAGTTTGAAACTTCCACTCTTAAAGTTCTTTTAATTCTTCTTAAACTTACTTGCTAATTTCAGTTTTTTCTACCTCTTAGGATTTCAAAGGACCCAATGCTTATGTGATTTGATGTATAAGAACTGTTCTAAATGATTGTTCTTCATCTTTTCCTGGAGATATTTAAGTAGATCATTAATTCCTTAACTGTCAGCTCATTAAACAGTGGGTTATTACTAGGCACATGTATGTAACCTTTGATTCTCGCCATTTTAAAACAGGATGAATTTTTTTTTAAAAATTGGTCTATGTGGCACTTATCTTCTTCAGGCCACAGTTTTTTCATCTGATCGATTAAACAAATGTAAGCCTGCTGTATTCATTTTGGAAGGGGGAGTTACATTTACCCAGGAACTTTAAGTTTTATCTTTCCAGGACAAAAAATTATATTGGATTCCCTCTGTGATAGCTCTTTCTTTTCTGTCTCTAGGTTGAGAAGAAAAACCTGGCCCTTGTTCTTAGCCACTTTAATGAAGCATCACTTGCCACAGAGAGGGGAAAATAGCAATTTGCATTCTGAGATAATTTAAGACTAACCTTTAACTATATGTGCATTAATGTATGGCTAAAAATATGTATCAAGATTTTAAAATTATTAAAGGAAGCTTACAGATGATAAAGAAGATAAATATTTGAAAGAAAAATTAATCTTTGAATATATAGTCTGCTCTTAACAAGAAGCACTATGTGATTTTATTCTTTGATAGCAAAGATTGTTATAATTATTAAAACACTCTCACTCAAGAGCCCGTTTGTGTGTGTATGTGTTTGTGTGTGGGTGTGTGTGATTTTTTTCATGCTTTTGAATCCATTTCTAACGAAATTTGAAGTCTCAAAAGGCTAGAGTTTCTAATATTTATTACTTACTGCTGAGTTGGATTTTCAACCTAAGTCAAAATTACAACTGTTTCCTATAACTGTTTATTATCTTTAAAACTGTTAGAACTTATATACGGCCTCCTTTTGAGCAACAAATTCGCCTCCAAACCAGAATAATAAAAACTATCAATATGTTTTTTACCCCAAAAGACTACTAGACACCACCAATACTTTGCCCTTTCTCTTCATGAGGAGGGATAAGAAAAATGATTGCATATGTATATATGATTGTGCCATAATTTTAATTAGCTTAACACTACTGTCAAAACTGTCCTGTTTGCCAAACTCAAGATAAAAGAAGCGCTGACAAATCAAAAAGGAAAGCTGATCTCTCTTATGGTAATTATATACAAAATGAATATATTTCAATAAATGTGTACTTTTGGACAAATGAATAGGAACAGTTAAGGTAATGCATAAAGACTGCCAGAATAACTAAGTTGATTTGAAACAGAGTTACTTTTTAAGTTTAAAATCGCTTGCCAATTGTGACAATCATAACACACATTTTATAGGATAAATTAAAGGACCTTACAAACTCATCAGTAACTTCATCAATAATATATTCTTATTTTTAGAGTAATCATTTACTAAATTCTTAAAATATTTATTCATGTGAAACTTCAGTGCAGGACTTCACTGTTCCCCATTCTGATTTTGTTCATTATTGTAATAAAATCACCAAGAGTATTTTAGTCCTGTAAGTAAAAAGTGGTTCTGCTTTTCCTTCACACTTGCATAAAGTCCTCTGCTACAAGATTCAGAGTATTCTAGAAGAAATATCAAAAGAATGATGACTTCAGTAAAGGATTTTACTGCATGCTCTTAACAATGGGTTCTGCATGGAATAGCCTAAGGTGCACATGCTTCCTCCTCCCGTGAGCAGACTGAGGATTTCTAACACTCTTGGTGCAAATACAGATGATGTTGTGAAATAATTCAAGATAAAATGAATAAGAAGTAATGACCTCAGTCTGAATGACACTGATGAGAAAATTAAGTTGTGGTTGATGTTTTAGTTTTTAATTGAAATATAACAACGCCCATCTTTCTTTCTTCTTGATCTATCGATGTTAACAGACTAAGTATACTTCTACAAACTGGAAAAACTCTTTAAATGTTATCTTTTTCAATTGACACGTTAGAATTCAAAGAAGTTTAAAAAAATCTAATATACAAAATAACTAATAAATCATCGGAAAAATTTAAGGAAGATGATTTTGCCAAACTAAAAAACACATTATTGTTGTGTTGACCAAACTGCTCAGAACAATAGTTAAACATTAGGCATAATGCCTCCAAAGTGTCCTGTTGCTTTTTATTACAATGTGGTTATTTACATAGTTTCAACATAAATCTTTCTTCTTTACAGGATATAATTGAACAAATCAAATTTATAACCATGAGTGTTACAGAAATGCCACAGCTACAGATAAATTTTATTAAATCAAGCATGCTAAGTCCAATATTGAAGAACAGGGGATATTCTTCTTGAGGCTACTGTGTACTCCCTGGTGCCTGCTCTATGATTTATAGGTCCCAGACTTACCAGCTTGGAAAGAATATCACTTCTGGTAGGATAGGAACATTGACACTATGGGAATCTTGAAAGAAGAAAAATATCTCTACATTTATAAGTATTTCAGGCAAAACTTAGTAGGAGTGTATTGGATGTTGTCTAAATACTAGCCTTGGAATACATATGTTTATAAGGGTAATGAAAGTCCTTCTGGCAAGAAGACTATGACCTCGGGAGCTTCACAGATCCTCCAGGGAGAAATAAAATACGAAATTATAGTTTCCTATGGATTTAGTTTGTTAACCATATCAACCAGTACATTTTTAAATAAATAAAACCAACTAAATAAAGAAAACATCAAATTAGTGATACTGAATTAGAAAATAGCTAAACAAATTTGTGTGGTTAAATCTTCACTTTGGAGATGAAATGACCAGAAACAGACACTGAGTGGGCAAAATGGACACCTTGCCCTGCTGCCATTGTGGTTACACACCTCAGATAACAGTTGGGAAGAAAGATACTTTATATCCTCAGATAAACTTTAAAGAGCAAAACATCCCACAGAGCACTAATTCCTCAGTAGTGAAGCCTTGAGCCCTTTCTTAAGTTGCTACCTCTCTGACTTTTGAAATACTGATAACTAGAGATATATGATGACCTTTGACCCTTGCAGATATAAAAATCAAGTGAATGAATTTTTATTTTCCAACCTTGAACAGACTAACTTTGGTAACATTTTTTGTTTCTTTATGGGTTTTTACTTTAAGTACCTTCTATATATATATTTTTAAATAGACAGTTATTCTGAAACCTGGACATTTTTTGCAAAATATTGCAAGAGAAAAATATTTATTTTTGTAAAATGCTTCATGTGTCCTGTTTTTTTTTTTTTTGTGTGGTTGTTGTTGTTGTTTTCCAGAGGCCACATGATGTGTGGCACAGTGAGGGACTAGTATCATCTGCAGATGGAGCAGGAACCAAAAAAGTTCTGTCGGTTCAACTGAAATATTTTACTATGAGTTTGCTTTTGTTTAGTTTTACAAATCTGTCTTATACCTTCACAGTGGATCATTTAACCCTTGCTTCTGAATTTTTCCATTGAATTTGTTTTAGTAAAATTACTTACCAAAAATAGACACTTGGTTAAAATAAGATCCCTAACAAATGGATCTTTAGATTCATTCCTTACTGTTCCCTTAAAAATATAAACACACTTTATGATCTTGCTGTGAAACCATTTTTTCTTAATACTGTAGTTTTCAATTTTCTAGTTTTCAAGTTTCTGTTTCTAAAATGGCTAGTTTTCTGGTTGGTTAAAACAAGTCAGAAGAATGAGATACGGCTGGTGATTTTCTCTTCTCTTATGTACATTAAAATATTTGACAGCAATATTGGTACGCTTTGGTTTCAAAGTATGCCTGTCTTTTCATGAGAAGAAAAAATAATTTTGGGGACTATACTGCCTCTCAGTGGTTCGTTTAATATTTATTTCAATCACAAAATATTTTATGAGATGAAAAACCTAAAATTTTCAATAATAGATTTCTCAGTGTTTTTACTTCGATTAGCTCATAAGAAAAACAGTAATGTGAGTTATCTTGCAATATATGTTTGTCTACCCCCATTGATTGGACACCAATAGCCATGATGTGTTACAAAGAGTTTCAAGGTCTACTTTCCCCAAAGAAGGAATGAATTAGTCTATATGCAAAGGAGGCATTGATGTATTCTGAAAGAGAAGGTGCCAAACCAGGCTGAGTAAAGGGCATAATCAGCTTGGAAAAGTTCATTGTTATGAGTTATGAAAATTCATAAGTCCAGATATTACCAAGTGGCCTTTTTTTTTTTTTTTTTTTTTTTTTTTTTTGAGACGGAGCCTTTCTCTGCCACCCAGGCTGGAGAGCAGTGGTGTGATCTCGGCTCACTGCAACCTTCACCTCCTGTGTTCAAGCAATTCTCCTGCCCCAGCCTCCCAAGTAGCCCGGATCACAGGCATGCGCCACCACACCAAGTTAATTTTTTTTATTTTTAGTAGAGACAGGGTTTCACCACGTTGGTCAGGCTGGTCTGGAACTCCTGACCTCAGGTGATTGACCTGCCTCCGCCTCCCAGGGTGCTGGGATTACAGGCGTGAGCCACCTTGCCCGGCCACCAAGTGGCTTTTTGATCTGTATTTTGGTATCCTAAGAATAAATCTTACAAATTAGAGAGTTTAAAGTTTACTTTAACCTCTCTACCTGTTAAGTTGGCTTAGTTCAACTTGTGTGTGTGTGTGTGTGTGTGTTTCTATAAACACGGGGCTATTCCAAGAACCTGCAGAAGGACAGAGTTGAGTACAATTTGGTTTCAATCATCAAAAAAATTATTATTCATTATAACAAAAAGGGAATACTCCACTTTTGTCCCCTTGACATTACTCAGCATTTGTTGATGAATTGAATAATCAAAGCTGTCAACTATTTCTCCTTTTAGTAGTAGTATCTTTATAATTTGCTGTAAGATGTTATGCCAAAAACAGTGATGAAAAGAGTGGAAAAACAGGTTTCTGAAATCTATGAGTTTGCTGTATATAGGGTGAGGACCCACAATTTGGTGTCTACAGTTTTTCAGAAATGCCTCAGTTTTTAAATTGATTTATAATATTAATAGGCATATTGATTTATGATCTTGTAGGCTAATTTATTCAAGACTGTCAATGACTAGAAGTTTTAAAACAAACTAAACTGGAAGCTTGTAATAGTGTTGAATAGATAATCTTATTTAAGTTTTTACAATCTCACTTTCATACAAGTTCTAGACTTTTCAAGAAATAGGAAGCTTTGAAGAAAAGGAGTAGGAAAGAGGAAATGCACTGATTATTTTAGCAGATATATTTCTTGGCACTAGGGATCAATATGTTAGGCATAAGTAAGTCTTGGCAGAGGCTGCCAGAGAGCAGATGTTAATACCTTGTCTACTAACCCAGAACATAGAGTATCGCTTGATGATAAGGCAAGGAAAATTCAGCGAAGGAACATCCTAATTTGACTGAGTGGTTACCCAAAAGATGATGAATTTTAAGCTGCCAGTAACTCAGTTTACTCTGAATTAACAGGAATGAAACTTCCCCTCATGGGCACTTAAGACAAAATAAGGGCTATGTGAAGTTTCACTATAGCAAGCAAATAGACTTGCATTTTTCAAGATTTGCCTGTTGTGACAATAAATTTACATCTGCCATAAAATATTTGGAGTTTTAGAAGATGGATCAGCATATAGATAATCTCTGAAAACAAAAAAAGCTAGACAACATCATGCAGAAAGGTCTAAGCAGAAGAAGTGAGTAGGAGACAGAATTCCAGGGCTTCTAACATGTATAGTACAGAACTAAGAGAGTTATATGAACCTATATGAAGGGGGAGGAAGTGGGGAGGCGCATGGACCTTCTAAGGCATCAGCAATGCTTTCTCCTTTTATCCTGGGTGGTAAGTATGTAGTGTTTGCTTTATTATTAGTAGTATTATTTTTAAATGAGTACACATTTTACATAATCTTCTGAATGTTAATCATCTTTCATAATAAAATGAAAAAATGCCAAAACAGTAGAAACATTAGGAAAAAATTAAGTTTTACAAAAAAATGTTTAAAACCAGGGTAGCAGCAACAGCTTATTGAGAAGGTAGATTGTCCTAAGAAGTCAGCTTTATTAAGGTGTAATTCACCTACAAGAAAATGCACCCATTTTAAGTTCTATGAATTTGGCAAATATACAAAGCAGTGTAACCACCACCACATTTAACAGAACATTTCTATTACTTCAGACGGTTTCCTTGTGCCCCTGTCCAGCTAATCCTTACCCCTCTTCCCTGACCCTAGGCACCCACTGATCTGCTATTGTACTGTAGGAATTATCTAGAATTTTATATAAATGGTGTCATGTTATATAAATGGTGTCATGCACTCTTTTGTATCTGACCTCTTTGGCACAACATAATCTTTTTGAGACCTATTCAGGTGGTTGTGTAGATTAGAGTTTCATTCCTTTTATTGTTAAAAAGTATCTCACTATGTGGCAGCTATGGAAATGTACCACTCAGACCTCCTTAACAGAACCAGCTACAGCAGTTGCCCCTCTGCATCTACCACCATATTCTAGTTATGACTACACTTCTCTAGGAATGTTCCCAGCAGAGGACTAAGAATAGTGGAGGATTACTGTTGTCCCATTTCTGCAGAATGTAGGATTCCTTTAATGAGCATTTTTGGCTCAGAGAATCCCTATTTGTCACCCTGAGAGAGAGAGAGAAAGGAAGGAGAAGGAAGGGAGGAAGGGAGAAAAGGAGGGAGGGAGGGAAAGTGTAGACCAGTTCTAGAGAAAACATTTTCAGACAATGGTACCAAAGTCAGAAGTCAGAATAATCGTCATGTTAGGGACTATAGAGATTAATAGAACAGCAAATTCATTTACTTTCCTGAAATTTTGTGGAAAGCTATATAGAGATCAACCATCTTTATCAAATTTACCTGACTTCTTTAATGGAAGTATGGGGGTATCACAGGATTAGTGCCCTTTGTAATTATCCCTTATTGTTTTGATTCTTTCATAACTGGTTTTATCCATTTTATTTGAGCTCTAAGGCCAAGCAATGCATGGATCTGTTTCAGCTCAGTGTGTTTTTCCACTGTGGTCTGGGACTGGCCCCCTCTGCCATACCCTTTTTCTTTCAAAGGCATATAGTATGGAGCCCCACATACACTCTGTCTGGAGGTACAGAATATGGTAGTTTAAAAATTGCACAGCGGGTCTCTCCCCAGGGGATACAGGAAATCAGAAAAAAAGTAAGAAAATATGCTCTTCAGTTATATAGCCAATCTGTAGGGGAACCATACAGGAATAGGAACAAGATGGATCCCAAATACCAACACCCTATCTTTATCACCAAATAGAAGCAAGAAATGCCCTAGGAAATTGCAGAATAAGTAACACCAGTTCCTACTTCCAAGATTCCCTAAGCCGGTTCATTTTAAGCCCTTTGACAATTATTTCCTAGTCTCCGGACTTTCATGCTTCCTGTATTCCTACTGAGAGGTGACGTGAAAAGGAGTCAGAGAGAAAGAAGGACAGACACAGAAAGTCAAAGAGAAAGTTAAAAAGAGAGGAAGAGACAAAGAAGAAGTCAAAGAGAAAGAGAGATGGAAGTAGTAAAGGAAAAACAGTGTACCCTATTCCTTTAAAAGCCAGGGTAAATGTCTATCTACCCAGCCAAGGCATATTCTACTTATGTGGATCTTCACCCCATATCTGCCTCTCAGACAGTTTGCAAGAAATAACGAAATCTAACCTTACTTTACAATCCCAAATAGACTCTTTGGCAGCAGTGACTCTCCAAAACCACCGAGGCCTAGACCTCCTCACTGCTGAGAAAGGAGGACTCTGCACCTTCTTAGGGGAAGAGTGTTATTTTTACACTAACCAGTCAGGGATAGTACAAGATGCCGCCCGGCATTTACAGGAAAAGGCTTCTGAAATCAAACAACGCCTTTCAAATTCTTATACCAACCTCTGGAGTTGGGCAACATGGCTTCTCCCCTTTCTAGGTCCTGTGGCAGCCATCTTGCTGTTACTCGCCTTTGGGCCCTGTATTTTTAACCTTCTTGTCAAATTTGTTTCCTCTAGAATCAAGGCCATCAAGCTACAGATGGTCTTACAAATGGAAACCCAAATGAGTTCAACTAACAACTTCTACCGAGGGCCCCTGGACCGACCCGCTGGCACTGCCCCTGGCCTAGAGAGCTCCCCTCTGAAAGACACTAAAACTGCAGGGCCCCTTCTTCGCCCCTATCCAGCAAGAAGTAGCTAGAGCAGTCATCAGCCAAATTCCCAACAGCAGTTGGGGTGTCCTGTTTAGAGAGGGGATTAAGAGGTGACAGCGTGCTGGCAGTCCTCACAGCCCTCTCTCGCTCTCGGCGCCTCCTCTGCCTGGGCTCCCACTTTGGCAGCACTTGAGGAGCACTTCAGCCCACTGCTGCACTGTGGGAGCCCCTTTCTGGGGTGGCCAAGGCCAGAGCCCACTTCCTCAGCTTGCAGGGAGGTGTGGAGGGAGAGGCGTGAGTGGGAACCGGGGCTGCGTGCTGCACTTGCGGGCCAGGTGGAGTTCCGGGTGGGCGTGGGCTTGGCAGGCCCTGCACTTGGAGCAGCCAGCCAGCCCTGCCCGCCCCGGGCAATGAAGGACTTAGCACCCGGGCCAGCGGCTGCAGAGGGTGTACTGGGTCCCCCAGCAGTGCCAGCCCACCAGCGCTGTGCTCGATTTCTTGCTGGGCCTTGGCTGCCTTCCTGTGGGGCAGGTCTGGGGACTGCAGCCCATCATGCCTGAGCCTTCCCCCACCTCCGTGGGCTCCTGTGCAGCCCAAGCCTCCCCGACGAGCGCCGCCCCCTGCTCCACAGTGCCCAGTCCCATCGATCACCCAAGGGCTGAGGAGTGAGAGCGCATGGCGTGGGACTGGCAGGCAGCTCCACCTGCAGCCCTGGTGCGGGATCCACTGGGTGAAGCCAGCTGGGCTCCTGAGTCTGGTGGGGCCTTGGAGAACCTTTATGTCTAGCTCAGGGATTGTAAATACACCAATCGGCACTCTATATCTAGCTCAAGGTTTGTAAACACACCAATCAGCACCCTGTGTCTAGCTCAGGGTTTGTGAGTGCACCAGTCGACACTCTGTATCTAGCTGAGTCTGGTGGGCCCTTGGAGAACCTTTATGTCTAGCTCAAGGATTGTAAATACACCAATTGGCACTCTGTATCTAGCTCAGGGTTTGTAAACACACCAATCAGCACCCTGTGTTTAGCTCAGGGTTTGTGAGTGCACCAATGGACACTCTGTATCTAGCTGAGTCTGGTGGGCCCTTGGAGAACCTTTATGTCTAACTCAGGGGTTGTAAATACACCAATCGGCACTCTGTATCTAGCTCAAGGTTTGTCAACACACCAATCAGCACCCTGTGTCTAGCTCAGGGTTTGTGAGTGCACCAATCGACACTCTGTATCTAGCTGCTCTGGTGGGGCCTTGGAGAACCTTTGTGTCCATACTCTGTATCTAACTAATCTGATGGGGACGTGGAGAACCTTTGTATCTAGCTCAGGGATTGTAAACGCACCAATGAGCGCCCTGTCAAAACAGACCACTCGGCTCTACCAATCAGCAGGACGTGGGTGGGGCCAGATAAGAGAATAAAAGCAGACTGCCTGAGCCAGTAGTGGTAACCCGCTGGGGTCCCCTTCCACACTGTGGAAGCTTTGTTCTTTCACTCTTTGCAATAAATCTTGCTACTGCTCACTCTTTGGGTCCACACTGCCTTTATGAGCTGTAACACTCACCGCAAAGGTCTGCAGCTTCACTCCTGAGCCAGCAAGACCACGAACCCACCAGAAGGAAGAAACTCCGAACACATCCGAACATCAGAAGGAACAAACTCCAGATGCGCCACCTTAAGAGCTGTAACACTCACCGCGAGAGTCCGCGGCTTCATTCTTGAAGTCAATGAGACCAAGAACCCACTAATTCCGGACACACTACAATTCCTGCATCTTCCAGAATCCTCTTCTGATATACTAGCTTCTTGCAATAATGCTGTATTTTCTCTCATCTCTTTCTTCTCTTAATAGTTTGTCCAGAGTGGGGGTTGTTCCTTTTAATTCTTTTTAATTTATTATTTTATTTTTTTCTTCTCTTTCTCTAGATTATCCCCCAAAACTAAGTAGCCTTTGTTAAGATTTGGGTAATAGACTGTTTTTGTCATGCTACCACTTTTCTCCTAACTTGTGTTTGGAAAATCAGCGAGAGAGTCAAGAAAAAGGTGATTAGGGCCAGAGAGTGATTTTGATCTGCCCTTGCATCCATGTCAATAATTTTTCAGAAAGTCTCAAGAAACCACTGATGGAAATCAGTGGGTATTCACCCATTTTCTAGATACACTGTAGCAATTTCTTCCAGCTCACCATTAGCTGAAAGACTTCAAGTATGGTCAGTATGGTCCTCAGCAATCCGTTCTGATGAGTCTCTAGTGCCCTCACATATTCCATGTAGTAAGAAGGTGGTAGAGAGCCAGCTTCCCTTGGCCACATACTCCTTGATGTACTTGCTGCCTCAAAGAAGCAGTCTGCAGGTTGCAGAATTCCATGCGGTAGCCAGTACTCAGCTTCCTGTGTGGGGCTGTAAACTGAAGACATGCTGTTTTCTGCAAACTTTAGAAACATAAAGAAGTCTTTAAATAAGTAATAACAGCTGATGAGAAAGGCATGTGAATTACTCAGGAGTCCTCGATAGCTTCTCATTGATATCAGGTTTGCAGGCAGCCTAAATAGGAAGGGCCAATTTTCTTCAGTTGAGACAAGAAAAATGTAACTTATGTGGCATCTTGGTCTCCCTTCCTGTGTTGACATTCACCAGCTTAACACCTTGTTTGTTTACCTTTTTCCAGGTGACTAATGTAGCCAATATCCATTCCATTGCCTTCATATGGGGACACAATCTTTTGTCCAAATTATGCATTATTTCCTGATCGGGTCTCTTTAGCATGCCTGCTTCCCAGCTATATGGTGTGTGATGAGGAGGAACACTTGGAGATGGAATCTGGACTAAGAAATAAAATGGACTCAGGGTTAGAATGCCAGGCACACAAACCTGTGTCCTCAAACACAGCCGGTAATTCATTCCCAGCTAAAGTAGTTAGAGGGACTTTAACTTCGTTACTCTTTACGGGGGAATCTACTAATGAAAGAAACCACTGTCTAAAGATCATTCCTTCTCTCACCTTCCCCAGAGTCAGGTTGAGTCACGAAGGACTAAGAGTTTGCAGAGAGAGCAGAGGAAACAGGGCAGTAGAGAAGAGAGGAGGGAGGGTCTATGGAAGTGAAAATGCCTTTAATTCTTACGTTTCTTCTTCTGTTTTTCTGAGTCTTTTCGTTATCTAAATTGTTTTAAATTTTTTTTCTTAAGATGTTTTTCATTCTAGTAATTCATTTGCTTTCATGATGCCTGTCAAAGAAGACTTGCAAATTTATTTATTTAACCACATCAGAAGATCTGCCCTCAGGCCAGTAGACTGGATTCTCATGTGCCCATTACAAATGTGAGAAAAGTTCTTTAAGAGGAAGACCTATAAGCAATATCCCTGGCTTCTTATACTTTCCAACCATATGGAGACCCTGATAGGATTTTAGATACTTCATGATTTACCCGTGCTTATTCAACAGCAAAATCTTGAATTTGGAGAGGGTGGTTGATCTGGCTAGTGTTGCAAAAGAGCAGAGAGCTAGAATGAAGACTTTTATAATTCATGATCTCTTACCTGACTTTTGTGTGGCCACAGACCTTCAGCTGCTCTGCTCAATTCAGGAACTGTCAGATGTTCTGCCCCCTTCGCCAGAATCATTAGGAAAATCGAATTCAATACAAAGCCTCCTCCCAACTCAGAAAACCTCTCCCCAGTGACAGAAGAGAAAGAAAACAGTTTTATAATTGAATAAGCAACAGAATGTGATGTGCATTATAGGCATTTTATCAGATTTGATAAAAGGATTGCAAAGATTAAAAGAATTTTCACCCAGATATTATTTACACGTTCTCAAGATAAGCAATAACTGGTACTCAAGTAAGAGGACTTGAGTGCACCATTTGTTGCATTTAGTTCAACCTAAATTCACCTGGTCATTGTAATTACTCTCCATGCTAGCTAATTGGCTTTATCCAAAGAGAAAATAAACAACTATTTTTATGACAGCTGGTAATGCTCAAGGTGCCTCCAGCTGAAGTTAGGCTCCTAGATGACCCCAGGTATTTGATAAAGACATTCCTGAGTTATAAAGCTGGAAAAAAGCTTGTTTAGGTATTTAGGTTTTAAAAAGGATTGTCTACATTTCAAAGGGACAGTAAAATAATTTACAAGTTTTCCAAAGAAAATGCTCTGAAGGGAAAGGATAGGGAAAGGGAGTCCTTCCCTTTTTGCACTAGAAAAAATTTCTATTTAAATTTTTTTTCTTTTTTGAGATGGAGTCTCGCTCTGTTGCCCGGGCTGGAGTGCAGTGGCATGATCTCGGCTCACTGCAACCTCTGCTTCCTGGGTTCAAGCAATTCTTCTGCCTCAGCCTCCCTGGTAGCTGGGATTACAGGCATGTGCCACCATGCCTGGCTAATTTTTGTATTTTTGTAAAGACAGGGTTTCACCATATTGGCCAAGCTGGTCTTGAACTCCTGACCTTGTGATCCACCCGCCTCGGCCTCCCAAAGTGCTGGGATTACAAGCATAAGCCACTGTGCCCAGCCTAAAAAATTTTATTTCCTATTACAGTGTTATTCACCAAGCATCCCCAAATGTTAGCATTTTACATAACCACAATAGAGTTATAAAACCCAGCAAATTAACATTAAGGTTAATTAACATTAACATAACAAACAGGAGGGAGACTGTCCAAAACAAAATGGTATTTATTCAGAAATAGGCATTGTGATGGGAATATGTATGCCATAGTAAATTATGTGTGTTCTCAGGGAGGTAAAGGAAGACAAAGATTTTTTTTTAAACAAGACTGATTACATAATCAGCTTGAAATATATATTCTTTGTTACAAGGATCAATAGCAAGAGTGGCACCAGTCCAAATTTAGATAGGCATTTTCTTTTTTTTTTTTTTAATTATACTTTAAGTCTAGGGTACATGTGCACAACGTGCAGGTTTGTTACATAGGTATACATGTGCCATGTTGGCTTGCTGCATCCTTCAACTCATCATTTACATTAGGTATTTCTCCAGACAGGCCCCAGTGTGTGATGTTCCCCACCCTGTGTCCATGTGTTCTCATTGTTCAATTCCCACTATGAGTGAGAACATGCGGTGTTTGGTTTTCTGTCCTTGTGATAGTTTGCTGAGAATGATGGTTTCCAGCTTCATCCATGTCCCTGCAAATGACATGAACTCATCATTTTTTATGGCTGCATAGTATTCCATGGTGTATATGTGCCATATTTTCTTAATCCAGTCTATCATTGATGGACATTTGGCTTGGTTCCAAGTCTTTGCTATTGTGAATAGTGCTGCAATAAACATTTGTGTGCATGTGTCTTTATAGTAGCATGATTTATAATCCTTTGGGTATATACCCAGTAATGGGATGGCTGGGTCAAATGGTATTTCTAGTTCTAGATCCTTGAGGAATCGCCACACTGTCTTCCACAATGGTTGAACTAGTTTACACTCCCACCAGCAATGTAAAAGCCTTCCTATTTCTCCACATCCTCTCCAGCATCTGTTGTTTCCTGACTTTTTAATGATCGCCGTTCTAACTGGCATGAGATGGTATCTCATTGTGGTTTTGATTTGCATTTCTCTAATGACCAGTGATGATGAGCATTTTTTCATGTGTCTGTTGGCTGCATAAATGTCTTCTTTTGAGAACTGACTGTTCATATCCTTTGCCCACTTTTTGATGGGGCTGTTTGTTTTTTTCTTGTAAATTTGTTTGAGTTCTTTGTAGATTCTGGATATTAGCCCTTTGTCAGATGAGTAGATTGCAAAAATTTTCTCCCATTCTGTAGGTTGCCTAGACAGGCATTTTCTGGGCAGATGTCCTCACAGAAGTAATTTTTTGTGTAAGGTTGTGATGGCCTTTGTGTAAGGTTGTGGGTTTTGAACTCTTTTGTTATAGTTCGTGTTGTCAGGGACTCATGTATTAGAATCCTCTCTTTATGGCCTTTTCTGGCTATGTTTATCAGGGCTTTTAACACAAGTGACTCCATTTTGTTTCAGACAACTTTCATAATATAACACTGTTAGAAGAAAGGGGTCCTGATCCAGACCCCAGGAGAGGGTTCTTGGATCTCATGCAAGAAAGAATTCAGGGTGAGTCCACAGTGCAAAGTAAAAGCAAGTTTACTAGTAAAATAGAGGAATAAAAGAATGGCTACTCCATAGAGCAGTGTCGAGGGCTGCTGGTTGCCCATTTTTATAGTTAGTTCTTGATAATAGGTTAAACAAGGGGTGTACTATTCATGCCTCCCTGTTTTAGACCATAAAGGGTAACTTCCTGACATTGCAATGGCATTTGTAAACTGTCATGGCACTGGTTGAAGTGTAGTAGCAGTGAGGATGACCAGAGGTCAGTCTCATGGCCATCTTGGTTTGGTGAAATTTAAATGGCTTCTTTACTGCAGCCTGTTTTATCAGCCAGATCTTCATGACCTGTATCTTGTGCCGACCTCCTGTCTCATCCTGTGACTTAGAATGCCTTAACCTTCTGGAAATGCAACCTAGTAGGTTTCAGCCTCATCTTACCCAGCTCCTATTCAAGATGGAGCTTCTTTGGTTCACACACCTCTGACAATACTGCTAACTAATCTACAGATCTATTCAAATTTAATAAGTTGTGCCCTTAATGTCCTTTTCTGGTCATAACCAATTCAAAATTATACAATGCATTTAGTTTTTAAATGTCTTTTAATCTGAGACATTCCTTTAATATTTCTTTGTCTTTTATGACCCTGAACACTTTGAACAGTAAAAGCTGGTGGATTTGTGTTTGGATTTGTCTGATGTGTCCTCATGATTAAATCCAAGTTATGTGTTTTTTACAGAAATGCTACAGAAATGATTCTGGGTCCTTCTTAATGCATTACTGTTGATGCTAAATTTAGTCACATTAATTTAATTTACTGTGGTCTCTGCTAGGTTTCTCCATTACAAAGTCACTATTTTCCTCTTCCACTTGATAAGTACCCTGCTGGGAGATAACATAGAGATTATCAAAATATCCTCTTTCCTTTTTTAAACATATAAACATGAAAGTTCACTTCCATTTAAATTAAAAAATTACAAAACACAAAAAGGATGGCTGACAAATAATATTGTGTGCGAAAAATTTCAGAATTAAATCACATTAAATAAAAGAAAGTCTTAAATTTGAATTTTACATCATTTGGTATTTCTGATTTAGATATTCAATTCAACCAACTACAGTTTGGAGTCAGCAAAGAGCCCAGTAGAGATAGTCAAACTGGTCACAAACTAACCTAGGGAAGTCTGGTTAATACAGAGTTGTTATATAAATATAATACCTGGGAGCTTGTATAATCTTGGGGCCCACCCAAGACCTACTAAATTAGAAACTCTGGGTTTGGTGCCTAGCAATCTGTTTTGTTTTGCTTTACATTTTAACGTTTTATTTTTATTTATTTCATTTTATCTCATTAAAAATTTGTTTTTTGAGACAAGTTCTTGCTCTGTCACCCAGGCTGGAGTGCAGTGGCTCAAAGACAGCTCACTACAGTCTTATCCTCCTGAGCTCAAGCAATCCTTCTGTCTCAGCCTCCCCTGTAGCTGGGACCACACGCATGCACCAAAACATCTAGCTAATTTTGTTATTTTTTGTAGAGATGGGGTCTTACTATCTTGCCCAGGCTGGGCTTGAACTCCTGGGCTCAAGCAATCCTCTTACCTCAGCCTCCCAAAGTGCTGGGACTACAGGCATAAACCACTGCACCCAGCTTTTATTTTTATTTTTTTATAACTTTGACATTTATTTCAGATTTAGGGGGTACATGTACATGTTTATTACGTGGATGTATTGAACGATGCTGAAGTTTGGGGTATGATTGATCCTATCAAGCAAGTACTGAGCCTAGTACCCAGTAATTAGGTTTTCAACCCTCCCCCAACCTGTCCCCTCCCTATAGTAGTCTCCAGTTTCTGTTGTTGCCATCTTTATGTCCATGTGTACCTATTGTTTAGCTCCCACTTATAAGTGAGAACATGTGGTATTGGTTTTCTGTTCCTGCATTAATTCACTTAGGATCATGGCCTCCAGCAGCATCTATTTTGCCACAGAGGATATTATTTCATTTTTTTAATGGCTGCATAGCATTCCATGGAGTATATGTACCACATTTTCTTTATTCAGTCTACTGTTGATGGGCACCTAGATTGATTCCATATCTTTGCTATTGTGAATAGTGCTGCAATGAACATATTACTGCATGTGTCTTTTTGACTGAATGATTTATTTTCTTTTAGATATGTAGCCAGTAATGGCATTGCAGGGTCAAATGGTAGTTCTATTTTAAGTTCCTTGACAAAGCTCTAAACTGCTTTCCATAATGGCTGAACTAATTTGCATTCTCACCAATAGTCTATAAGCACTCCTTTTCTCCATAGCCTTGCCAGCATCTGTTGTTTTTGAACATTTTAATACGAGCCATTTTGAATGGTGTGAGATGGTATTATGTCCAGAATTGGTGGGTTCTTGGTCTCACTGACTTCAAGAGTGAAGCCACGGACCCTTGCAGTGAATGTTACAGTTCTTAAAGATGGTGTGTCTGGAGTTTGTTCCTTCTGATGTTCGGATGTGTCCAGAGTTTCTTCCTTCTGGTGGGTGCGTGGTCTCGCTGACTTCGGGAGTGAAGCTGCAGATCTTCGCCGTGAGTGTTACAGCTCTTAAAGGTGGCACATCTGGAGTTGTTCATTCCTCCCAGTGGGTTCATGGTCTTGCTGACTTCAGGAGTGAAGCTGCAGACCTTTGCAGTGTTACAGCTCATAAAGGCAGCGTGGACCCAAAGAGTGAGCAGCGGCAAGATTTATTGCAAAGAGCAAAAGAACAAAGCTTCTACAGCATGGAAGGGGACCTGAGCAGGTTGCCGCTGCTGGCGCCGGTGGCCTGCTTTTATTCCCTTATTTGGCCCCACTCACATCCTACTGATTGGTCCATTTTACAGAGTGCTGATTGGTCCATTTTACAGAGTGCTGATTGGTCCATTTTGACAGAGTGCTGATTGGTGCACTTACAAACCTTTAGCTAGACACAGAGTGCTGATTGGTGCATTTACAATCCTTTAGTTAGACACAAAAGTTCTCCAAGTCCCCTACCCGATTAGCTAGACACAGAGGGCTGATTGGTGCGTTAACAAACCTTTAGCTAGACACAGAGCGCTGATTGGTGCATTTACAATTCTTTAGCAAGACAGAAAAGTTCTCCAAGTCCCCACCCAATCCAGAAGCCCAGCCAGCTTCACCTCTCAATCCCCCCTCTAAACAACTGCTGTTGGGAATTTGGCCAATGACTGCTCTAGCTACTTCCTGCTGGATAGGGGTGAAGAAGGGTCCCTGCTGTTGTAGTGTCCTCCAGAGGGGAACTCTTTAGGCCAGTGGAAGGGCCAGGGGATCGGTCCAGGGGTCCTTGGTAGAAGTTGTTAGTTGAACTCATTTGGGGTTCCATTTGTAAGACCATCTGTTGCTTGATGACCTTGATTCTAGAGGAAACAAATCTGACAAGGAGGTTAAAAATATAGGGCCCGAAGGCGAGTAATAGCAAGATGGATGCCACAGGACTTGGAAAGGGGAGAAGCCATGTTGCCCAAATCCAGAGGTTGATATAAGAGTTTGAAAGGTTTTGTCTGATTCCAGAAGCCTTTTCCTGTAAATGCCGGGTGGCATCTCATACTATCCCTCACTGGTTAGTGTAAAAACAGCACTCTTCTCCTAAGAAGGTGCAGAGTCCTCCTTTCTCAGCAGTGAGGAGGTCTAGGCCTCGGCGGTTTTGAAGAGTCACTGCTGCCAAAGAGTCTAATTGGGATTGTAAAGTAAGGATAGATTTTGTTATTTCTTGCAAACTGTCTGAGAAATCCTTTGAGAGTGTGTGGTAGTAGGATAATGCATGTTACACTGTTAACTTTTAGCAAACTTTACTTTTGCTGAAAACCTTGTAGTTTGGGGTTTTAATTATTCTTTGTTATTAATAAAACCTTGTTCAGCCCATATTAACTTAGAAATGGTATAGATAGCTCCTTCCTGATTCTGTAAGTACTTTAAGATTTGGCTGAGTGCAAACAGCTCGCATGTTTAAGCAGACCAACTATTAGGCAATTTTCCTAATTCTGCTTCTGTTAGCGTTTCCTTATCACTTACTGAATACCCATTGTGTCTTTTTCCCTTAATCACCTAGGAGGAAACATCTATCATCCTGTCCTGAAGGGAGTTCCTCCTTGGTCTGGTTGGACCTTTGTATGGTAATTAATTAAGATTTAGATCACCTATTAGGAAACCTTCTGAGTTAAGGATTTTTGATAGAAAGGCTACGGATTGTCAGTGACCTCAGTGCTTTTGGGCTATGCCCTTGTTTACACTGACAACAAGGTGGTAATGGAGTGTTATAGGGTTACAGAGAAGACCTTCAATTATCAATGATAGGTCTTAAATTTACCCTGGCTTTTAAAGGAATAGGGTACACTGTTTTTTCTTTACTACTTCCATCTCTCTTTCTTTCTCTTTGACTTCTTGTCTCTTTCTCTCTCTTCCTCTCTCTGTCTCTCTCTGACTCCTTCTTTGTCTCTTCCTCTCTCTCTTTCTGTGTCTCTCTTTCTTTCCCTCTCTGACTCCCTCTCTTTGTGTCTCTGTTTCTTCCTCTTTCTCTTTCTCTGACTTCCTGTCTCTTTCTCTCTTTCCTTTCTGCTGCCTCTGCCAGCTGTTATGCTGCTGTTCTCCCTTCTCCTTCCCTTTTTGATGGCTTCAGCAGTGTCAGACTGTCACCTCCTTGGGTTTTTGCACTGCATGCAATAACTCCATAATTTCCTTGTGTATTTATTGGGAGTACCCCCAGAGATTAGGGGGAACCCTAACCCTTTCTTTCCATATTGCAGCATGGGCATGTAGGATTAGATAAGCAT
Organism: Homo sapiens; assembly: GCF_000001405.40. Taxonomy (NCBI): domain Eukaryota; kingdom Metazoa; phylum Chordata; class Mammalia; order Primates; family Hominidae; genus Homo; species Homo sapiens. The sequence continues at coordinate 86,933 of NW_003315913.1, forward strand.
ACTTGCTATGTGTATACACATTTATTCTTTTTCCCTTTCCCAGTTCTAAGTCTTGGGTAAGTGCCACTAGTTCTGCTAACTGGGTGCTGGTCCCTGGGGGAAGAGGCTTACTTTCAAGTACAGCTACATCAGTAACTATGGCATAACCTGACCTTCGTATCCCATTCTCCACAAATGAACTTCCATCGGCATATAGGTTAAGGTCAGGATTAGCTAAGGGGACTTCTAAGAGATCATCTCGGGTGGCATAAGTCTGGACTATAATTTGTTGGCTGTCATGCTCGATTGGTTCCTCATCCTCTGGGAGAAAAGTGGCAGGGTTGAGGGCCATGCATGTTTGTATTTGAAGCACCAGTCCCTTAAGGAGTAGTGCCTGGTATCTAAGTAGGTGATTGTCTGATAGCCATAAACTTCCTTTGGCACCTAGTATGCCATTTACATCATGAGTAATCCAGACAGTGAGATCCTTTCCTTGTATTATTTTGATAGCCTCTTACACTAAGACAGCCACCACTGCAACTACCTGTAAACAGTGAGGCCAGCCTTTTGCTACCACATCAATTTCCTTAGGTTGTCCCACTAGTCTGAGTAAGGTCTCCAAGAGCTATCCCTGCTCTCTCTGTGATGTATAAAGAGAAGTGTCCTGTGGGAAGGCTTAAAGCTGGAGCTTGTACTAGGGCCTGCTTTAAGGTTTTGAAGGCTGTTTCTGTCCCTGGTTCCCATTCTACTAGATGAGTATTTGCTCTCTGGGTCTCCTTGATTAGAATATATAGGGGCCTGGCTATCTCACTGTATCTGGGGATCCATAGTCGGCAAAAGCCGGTGATTTCAAGGAACACCCACAACTGTTTTAATGTCTTAGGGCAAGGATAGGCTGTATTTGTTCCTTGCTAAGGGCCCTGGTCCCTCTGGCTAAGATTAGGCCTAGATATTTAACCTGCTGTAAACAAAGCTGGGCCTTCAACCTAGATGCGTAGTACCCTTGATTAGCTAGAAAGTTCAAGAGATCTAGAGTAGCCTGCTGGCATGAGGCTTCTGAACTGGTAGCCAAAAGTAAATCATCCACATACTGAAGGACCAGAGTGCCTGAACTTGAGAAGTGGCCTAGATCTTGGGCCAGTACCTGACCAAACAGGTGAGGGCTATCCCTAAACCCCTGGGGCAAGACCATCCACTTAAGTTGGGATGTGTGGTCTGTGGGATCCTCAAAGGCAAATAGAAACTGGGAGTCATAGTGAAGGGGAATACAGAAGAAGGCATCCTTGAGGTCCAGAACCGTGAACCATTCTGCTTCCTCTGGTATTTGAGAGAGAAGGGTATAAGGGTTGGGTACAACTGGATACTGAGGAAATACAGCCTCATTGATGAGTCTAAGATCTTGCACTAGTCTCCATTGACCATTCAGCTTTTGTACTCCTAGAATTGGGGTGTTGCAGGGACTGCTGCATTTCCTTCCTAAGCCTTGAGCTTTTAAATATTTAACAATATCCTGTATTCCTTTATGAGCTTCAGGCCTTAAGGGATATTGCCTTTGATAAGGAAAAGTGGTGGGGTCTTTTAGCCTGATTTGGACTGGGTGGGCATTTTTTGCCCTTTCAAATTGTCTTTCCAATGCCCAGACTTCAGGGTTGATTCCCTCCTCAAGTAGAGGACAACAAATGGGTAACTTGTTCCCCGTATTCATGTAGATAATAGCTCCAGCTTTGGCTAATATGTCCCTCCCTAATAAGGGTGTGGGACTTTCAGGCATAACAAGAAAGGCATGTGAAAAGAGCAAAGTCTCCCAATTACAACTGAGGAGGTGGGAGAAATACCTGGTTATAGGCTGTCCCAGGATTCCTTGGATGGTAATGGACCTTGAGGATAGTCATCCAGGATAGGAGATTTACACTGAGAAGGCTGCACCAGTGTCCAGAAGGAAGTCAATTTCCTGGCCCTCAATAGTTAAACATACCCAGGGCTCAGTGAGGGTGATGACATGAGCTGGCACTTGCCCCAGGCACCCTCAATCCTGTTGTTGGATCATCTGGTTGGGGGCTTCTGACCCAGGGAACCTTTGTCTTCTGGGGCAGTGCACCTTCCAGTGATTGCCTCAGCATAGCAGACATGGATGAGGGGATGGCTTGTTTCTCGTTGGACAATCTTTTTTAAAGTGTCCTTGTAAGCCACACTGATAACAAGCCCTACCGGGTGACTGGCCTGCTCCATTTTCTGTCCTCTCTGAACCACCAAGGTTTGTTTGTCTGAGGGCCATGACTAAGGCTGCGGCCTTTCTCTGATCTTGCTTTTCCTTTTGAGCTTGTTCCTCTTGGTCCCTATTGTAGAACACCAAGGTTGCCAGGTTTAATAATGCCTCCAAATTTTGTTCAGGGCCCAGGACCTGCTTTTGAAGCTTTCTCCTGATATCTGTGGCTGATTGGGTAATAAACTTATCTTTTAGAATCAATTGACCCTCAAGTGATTCGGGTGACAGGGGAGTATATTTTCTTAAGGTCTCCCATATCAGCTCGAGGAAGGCAGAAGGATTTTCTTCCTTTCTCTGAGTTATGGTGGACATTATTATTCAATGATGATGGGCTTTTTCCTAATTCAATTATTCAATTAATGGGCTTTTTCCTAATTCTCCTTAGTCCTTCTAGAACACAGGTCAACAGATGTTTATGACTCCAGTCCCCATGATCTGAGTCAAGGTCCCAGTGGGGATCTGTACTGGAGATGGCTTGCTGACCAGTAGGGAATTTGTCCCTTTCTTCAGCTGTCATTCTATCATTTACTTGACTAAGATACCAAGTATCTCCAAACTCTCAGGCTGCAGCTAAAGCTGCATTCTTTTCATTAAAGGCCAGGGTTTTATCTACCAATAGCATGACATCTCTCCAAGTGAGATCGAAGGTTTGCCCTAGACCCTGTAGGACATCTATGTACCTATCAGGATCATCTGAAAACTTCCCCAGGTCTGCCTTGATCTGCTTTAAATCAGAGAGGAAGAAAGAGACGTGTACCCGGGTTGGACCAAATTCCCCTCCCCCTATAGCTTGAAGGGGACATAACCGATAGCCCGGGGTTTTTGTGGTCCTTTGGAGATTTCCTTGCTTATTTCCTTCTGGGCAGGGGAGATTAGAGGAGGCTTATCATTAATAGGAAGGGGAGCTATAGGGAGGCTAGGATATGGGGGTAAGCTGTGTGGTCCTCCTGTAGGGTGTAAATTTCAAGCTTTGCATAGTTGTGTATTCCCCTTCAATGAAAAGAAAGCTTGGACATAAGATATTACACTCCATTTGCCTTCCTTCTTACAGAAAAGGTCAAGCTGCAGGATAGTATTGTAATTTGTACTTCCCTCAGGTGGCAATTTTTCCCCATCAGAAAGAGAATATTGGGGCCAAGCCATAGTGCAGAAAAAAATGAGCCACCTCTTTTTCAGGATTTGGGGGTCAAATTGGTCCCAATGGCTTAGAATGTATTTCAAGGTTGAGCCTGTTGATGCCTGAGTGTTTCCCATCTGAAAGACAAAACCACCCATGGTTTTAGTTTTTTTGTATCCCCCCCTGCCCAAAAACCTGCAATGGTCCCTGGACCCTGCTGATCGGAATAGTTGCACTCACTGACACAGCAGCAGAAACCCAAGAACCCGCAATGGTCCCTGGACCCTGCTGATTGGAACAGTTGCGCTCACCAACGTGCAGCAGAAACACTAGTTTTCCTCCAAGACCACAAGGAGGACCGAGGAAGGTCGGATTTACTGGCCCTTACTGATGCATTCTCAAAAACCTGTTAGAGTCCTAAGCATTCTCCTGTTAGTATTGGAACCTTACCCCTGTCCTATAAAGATGTTATGCCCCCAAAATCAAGTGGAGGGCCATACCCTGAGGGAGGGGAGGGATCTCCAGAGTTGGAAGAGTGATGCCTTTTGGAAGAGTGATGCCTTTTATATGAATAGGAAGGATATAATTTCTGAGGCTCCTCATATCCTAGCTTCAGGAATAGCGTTTGCTAGGTCTGCTTATCTGAGGAGGGATCTTAAAATTCCACATAGTCCCCCCTACAACAGGGCTTTGGGCAAAAATTATGTCTTTCTGATTGGTGAGCCCGGGTGTCTAAAGAAGGTAACAGAGTCCTGAAGTTTATACTAGAAATCATTCTTACAGGAGAAATTAGAAAAGCACCAGAGACAGGGAGTGGTTTTTAGGAGCATGACTAGCCTTGGAGAACAGAGGCGAGAGGAAGTTTGTCTGGTAGGCATTAGGACCCACGGGGCAAGGGTCAGGATAGGTAGGATAGATGGGCAAGTCTTGCTTTGGCAACATGCCTTTAAGAGTTCCGCTCATGGTCGCAGGTCAACCAACTTGTTGTCGGGATCCTGGAGCTGAATGGCTTTCCTCTCTGCTGACCCACAGCTCAGCCCAGAAGTACAGGAAAAGTGGAAGCTGGTTCCAGGCAAACCAACGCTCCCGACTCCGAAGAGTCAGGGTTTGTTAGCAAGCCCTTTCCCAAAAAGCCTGACACCCATGTCTTTAGTCCGGCGGCCGCGCTAGTCGCTTTTAACTGGCTGACAGTTGCCCAGTATTTAGCCCCCGAATTCTAAGGAAAAATAGGACAGAATAGAAAGCGAAAGGAGTCCAGTGGTACTCAACTCTTGGCAATAGGCGATGGACTCACCGCTTGGCGATAGGCGATAGTCCCTTCATGGTCTTCAAAATGTGTCCGGAATTGGTGGGTTCTTGGTCTCACTGACTTCAAGAATGAAGCCACAGACCCTCGCAGTGAGTGTTACAGTTCTTAAAGATGTTGTGTCTGGAGTTTTTCCCTTCTGATGTTCGGACATATCCAGAGTTTCTTCCTTCTGGTGGGTTCGTAGTCTCGCTGACTTCAGGAGTGAAGCTGCAGACCTTCGCAGTGAGTGTTACAGCTCTTAAAGGTGGTGTGTCTGGAGTTATGCGTTCCTCCTGGTGGGTTCGTGGTCTCGCTGACTTCAGGAGTAAAGCTGCAGACCTTTGCGGTGAGTGTTACAGTTCATAAAGGTGGTGTGGACCCAAAAAGTGAGCAGCAGCAAGATTTATTGCAAAGAGCGAAAGAACAAAGCTTCCACAGTGTGGAAGGGGACCTGAACAGGTAGCCACTGCTGGCTCGGGTGGCCTGCTTTTATTCCCTTATTTGACCCCACTCACATCCTGCTGATTGGTTCATTTTATAGAAAGCTGATTGGTCCATTTTACAGAGTGCTGACTGATCCATTTTACAGAGTGCTGATTGGTCCGTTTTGACAGAGTGCTGATCGGTGCATTTACAAACCTTTAGCTAGACAGAGTGCTGATTGGTGCATTTACAATCCTTTAGCTAGACACAAAAGTTCTCCAAGTCCCCTACCCAATTAGCTAGACACAGAGCACTGATTAGTGTGTTTACAAACCTTTAGCTAGACACAGAGCACTGATTGGTGCATTTACAATCCTTTAGCTAGACAGAAAAGTTTTCCAAGTCCCCACCTGACCCAGAAGCCCAGCTGGCTTCACCTCTCAGTATCTCATCTGATTTTCATTTTTCTGATGATTTATGGTGTTGTAAATTTTTCATATGATCAGTGGACACTGTTTAGAATTGTCTGTTCATATCCTTTGCCCATTTTTTAATGTGGTTATTTGTTTTTTGCTTGTTCAATCATTTCAATTCCTTATAGATTCTAGATATTAGACCTTTGTTTTATGCATAGTTTGTATTGTCTCCCATTGTGTAGGTTGTCTGTTTACTCTGTTTACAGTTTCCTTTGCTATGCAGAAGCTCTTGAGTTTATTAGGTACCACTTGTCAATTTTTGTTTTTGTTGCAATTGCTTTTGAGGATAATCATAAATTCTTTCTCAAGGCCTGTGTCAAGAATGATATTTCTGAGGTTTTCTTCTAGGATTCTTATAGTTGAGGTCTTTCATTTAAATCTTTAGTCCTTCTTGAGTTAACTTTGTATATGCTGAAAGGTCGAGATCATGTTTCATTCTTCTGCATATGGCCAGCAGCTATCCTAGCACCAATTATTAAATGGGGAGTCCTTTCCCCGTTGCACATTTTTTGTCTCCTCTGTCCAAGATCAGATGGATATACATGTGTATCTTTATTTCTGGGTTCTCTATTCTGTTCCACTGGTGTATGCATCTAGTTTTTGTAACAATATTATGCTGTTTTGGTTACTGTAGTCTTTTTTTTGGTTGGGTGGGGGGATGGAGTTTCGCTCTTGTTGCCCAGGCTGGAGTGCAGTGGCTCCATCTCAGCTCATCACAACCTCTGCCTCCCGGGTTCAAGTGATTTTCCTGCCTCAGCCTCCTGGTAGCTGGAATTACAGGCATGTGCCACCACACCTGGCTAATTTTGTATTTTTAGTAGAGACAGGGTTTTTCCATGTTGGTCAGGCTGGTCACAAACTCCCTACCTCAGGTGATCCACCCACCTCAGCCTCCCAAAGTGCTGGGATTACAGGCATGAGCCACCGCACCTGGCCGGTTACTGTAGTCTCATAGTGTACTTTGAAGTCAGATAATCTGATGGATGCCTCAGGCTTTGTTCTTTTTGCTTAAGATTGCTATTTGGGCTCTTTTTTGATTCTATATGAATGTTAGAATAGTTTATTTCTATTTCATCTTCTGTGAAAAATGACATTAGTATCTTGATAGGAATTATGTTAAATTTGTAGATTGCTTTGGGCAGTATGGCCATTTTAACAATATTGATTCTTCCAATCTATGAGCATGGAATGTTTTTCCATTTGCTTGTGTTATCTGTGATTTCTTTTAGTGGTGATTTGCAGTTCTGCTTGTAGAGATCTTTCCCTTTCTTAGTTAGCTGTATTCCTAGGATTTTGGTGGTGGTTGTTGTTGCAGCTATTATAAATGGAATTGCATTCTTGTTTTGGCTCTCAGCTTGAACATTATTGGTGTATAAAAATGCTACTGATTTGTGTACATTGATTTTGTTTCCTGAAACTTCATTGAAGTCATTCAACAGTTCCAGAAACCTTTGTCACATTCTTTAGGGTGTTCTTGGTATAAAATCATATTGTCTGTGAAGAGGGATAATTTGAACTTTTCTTTTTTTATTTGGATGGCTTTCATTTCTTTCTCTTGCCTGATTGCTTTGGCTGGCACTGCCAGTACTATGTTAAAGAGGAGTGGTAACAGTGGGCACCTTTGTGTTGTTCCAGTTCTCAAGGGAAATGCTTCCAGTTTTTGCCCATTCAGTATGATGTAAGCTGTGGGTTTGTCAGAGATGGCTTTTTATTTTGAGGTATGTTCCTTCAGTGCCTAGTTTCTTGAGGGTTTTGATCATGAAAGGATGTTGGATTTTATGCAGCTTTTTCTGCATCTATTGAAATGATCATACATTTTTTGTTTTTAATTATATTTATGCAGTTCAGGCCAGGCATGGTGGCTCATGCCTGTAATCCCAGCACTTTGGGAGGCTGAGACGGGTGGATCACGAGGTCAGGAGATCCAGATCATCCTGGCTAACACAGTGAAACCCCGTCTCCACTAAAAATACAAAAAAATTAGCCGGGCCTTGTGGTGGGCTCCTCTAGTCCCAGCTACTCAGGAGGCTGAGGCAGGAGAATGGCATAAACCCAGGAGGCAGAGCTTGCAGTGAGCTGAAATTGCGCCACTGCACTCCAGCCTGGGTGACAGAGTGAGACTCCATCTCCAAAAAAAAAAAAAAAAAAAAGAAGTTAGAGTTTTCTCACTGTTGTAATTTTTGCAGAGGTGGTTTCAGGCATTTTTCAAGGTAAAAGTTGTGGGAGCCAAGGGCCTTCTAAACATTTGCTGAAAATCACTGTCATGAGAGAGATTGATTAATAAGAGAAAAGACATACAAATTTATGTAAAATGTTTACATGGGAGCCTTCAAAATGTAGATTCAGCTTCACAATGGGGTATAGAAGTTTATAGTTTATATACTTTCTTGAGGTTACAGAAAGAATGGGGACTTCGATCCTGGTAGAACAGGTTATGGGATGGGGGAGAAGAGGAATTCTATTGAGGAACAATGAATGATTACTAGGGGGAAATGACTGGATTGAGGAACAGAAATAAACTTGTAAATAGTTGTCTTAGTTTTTTTTTTTTTTTTTTTTTTTTTTTTTTTTTTTTTTTTGAGACTGAATCTCACTCTGTCACCCAGGCTGGAGTGCAATGGCACGATCTTGGCTCACTGCAACCTCCGCCTCCCTGGTTCAAGTGATTCTCCTGCCTCAGCCTCCCAAGTAGCTGGTATTACAGGCACCCACCATCATGCTTGGCTAATTTTTGTATTTTTAGTAGAGATGGGATTTTACCATATTGGCCAGGGTGGTCTAGAACTCCTGACCACAAGTGATCTGCCTGCCTTGGCCTCCCAAAGTGCTGGAATAATAGACATAAGTCACCATGCTCGGGCTTCTCTTTGGAATTTAAATGATTCTTGGAAACAGTTATTATCTTGAAAAAAGGTCTGTTACAATGTGGTTACATTTTTGGTCTTCTCTCCTGTAATGGATAATGAGATAACAGGGAGAGGAACAAAAACAATTGTTCTCATTGGTGAGTCAGTCCTATCTTTATGTGGATAGGGGAAGTCTCTGCCACTTGTTGATCTCTAAAGATTTTTGTTGATCTTTAAAGAGTTTTAATTAAGAATACTGATTATACCAGGGAGCCATATTTTGGAATAAAATAGTTTTATTTCCTTCAAAGTTAAGCTCTCTTTTCTTTCAAAAGCTTCTTCTAATTTCTCTAGTCCTCATTAATCTCTCTTTGAATTCCTACAAGCTCTTTCCAGAATTTAGTAATTATTTATATATATTTTCAGGGCAAATAGAACAATACTTAGAAAAACGTGATTAATCCAAATTTATCATTTTCTAGCTGTGTAAATTTGTTCAGAGTTTCTGGACTTAGTCTCCTTACCTTTAAAGTTGAGGAGTTACATAATTTCTGATGCTTGGGAAAATCTTAGCAAAGTATTATACAATAAAATGTATAATAATAGATATGGTGTAACTTGCTACTGCTACAGAATCTTTTAAAAATTTCCTTTGTGAGGGATTCTCCAGTGACTTGTCAGAAAATGCTAAAAGCCTGGAGAGAAATAGTAAATAGTATTTTGTATCAGTGATAAGAGGTATAGAAATAGTGCTCTTTTTCTAGTTTTTCTCTTAAGGAAGGAAATGAACCTATTTGTATGTGAAAATCAGCCTTTTAGTAATGTGGTAATACAATGATTTTTTAAAGTTTGAATCAAATTATAGGAGTAATGAAAAAAAATGAAATTATTGGTAAGACATCTACCAAGAAAATATAGCAGATTTTAGTCTGTATAGTTACTTAAAATTAATGTTTATAAGCCAAAATATTTCCTTGTTTGCTTATTATTCTTATTTCTTTTTTATATGCATTTACCATGTTAAATTTTGGTTTATTTATTTTTCTCTGACAGGCTATTTAAAAAAAAAAAACCAACACAGGTCTTATAACATAAAGACAAAAATATTTCTTCTAGATACTTTAAGCTCTACACATAAACTTATGATTCATTTTGAGTTAACTTTGTGTAAGAAAATTGAACAATGTGTTGTTCATGAATGTTTAATTTTTTTAGCACCATTTATTGAAAAAACCATGCATGTTCTCACTGAATTGCCTGTGTACCTTTGTTGAAAATCTATTGACCATATATGTGTGGATTTCTAATCAGTTATAATAATTATGCTTATTCTGATAGTACTCTCTTGATCACTGAAGCTTTATATTATAAGTATTGAATTCAAGTAGAGTGAATCCTTTAACTTTGTTCTTTTTTTCAAAATTGTTTTTGCTCTTCTAGATCCTTTGAATTTCTAAATTATTTTTAGAGTAGTCATTATCTACAGATAGGCATGCTATGATTTTGACTGGGATTGCACTGAACCTATAGATCAATTTTTGGAGACCTAACGTCTTAACGGTACTGAGTCTTCTGATCAATGAACATCATTGTTAATCTCAGTAACAAACAGAGAGAAAGACTGTCCAAAAGAAAATGATATTTATTTGGGAATAGCCATTGCAATGGGAATATGTATGCCATAATAAACTATGTCTATATTAAGAAAGGTAAAGGAAGACAAAGGTTTTAAAGGAAAAGTGAGAAGGATTACACAATTATTTTGACATAATTATTCTCGGCTACAAGGGTGGTTTCAGTCCAAGGTTGTGAAACCACCATTGCAAGATTGTAACTGAGACAGTGAAAGAGATCTGACCTAACTAACTCCATCTTGCTTCTAGCCTCCAAGCTGTCCTAGTTCATTCCTGGGTGTGGGCTGAACTGACTTTGGGAGGAACTTAGTTTACGGTTTGAAACAAAAATGATAACAGCCCTTTCCCAAGGCAAACCTCCTTCTTGCCTGGGGACTAGACTGACTTTGTAGGAATAACGGATTTGCCACAAGATTAGAAATTATGGTTTAGGAGTCATGCAGCTGGATGCTACAAGATTCTGATCCTCCCTAAGCTGCTGCTAAGATCAGTGCTTCAGATATTTTGCAGACCCTGCACTTGATGGATCAGCTGGCACCACCCAGATCAATAAACTGGCTCATCTGATCTTGTGGCCCACCCCCACCCAGAAACTGACTCAGCCAAGAAGGCAGCTTCAACTCCCTATGATTTCATCTCTGACTTGAACAATCAGTACTCTCGGCTCACTGGCTTCCTTCCACCCACCAAGTTGTCCTTAAAAACTCTGATCCCCAGTCATACTGATTTGAGTAATAATAAAACTCCGGTCTCCCAAAGAGCTGGCTCTGCGTGAATTACTCTTTCTCTATTGCAATTCCCCTGTCTCGAGACATCGGCTCTGTCTAGGTGGTGGGCAAGGTGAACCCACTGGGTGGTTACAGTGGGACAAGCAGTTGCTGGGTACATGTCCTGATGAAGTATTTGTGGGTATAAGATTGTGATGGTCTTTGTGCAAGGTTGTGGTTTTTGAAATCTTTTGTGATAATGTGATAGTTGTTATTAGGCATTTCTGCATAAGGACCTTCCCTTTGTGACCTTCTCCGGCTCTGTTTTACAGGGTTTTAAACCAAGTACCACAATTTTAATTCTGACAACAACTCTTTTTTTTTTTTTTTTTTTTTTTTTTGAGACAGAGTCTCACTCTGTCACCCAGGCTGGAGTGCAGTGGCAGGATCACGACTCACTGCAGCCTCAACCTCCTGGGCTCAAGCGATTCTCCCACTTCAGCCTCCTGAGTAGCTGGGACTACAGGCACGTGCCACCACGCCCAGCTAATTTTTGTATATTTTGTAAAAACAGGGTTTTGCCATGTTGCCCAGGCTGGAATTCTGACAACTTTAACGTAGTATTCTTTTGATGTAGTTAGGTCTTTTTAATTAGTCTCAATAAATTTGTGTAGTTGTAAGCATAAATATATATATTGAATTATTTTGTTAAACTTATTCTTAAGTATTTCATATGCTTTGATGCAATTGTAAACAGTATTAAAATACCTAATTATTAATTACTAGTAAATAGAAAAATTGATTTTGTATATTCTACCTTTTAAAACTCTTTTTTTTGTTTGTTTTTTGTTTGTTTGTTTGTTTTGAGACAGGATTTTACTCTGTCACCCAGGCGGACTCGAGTGCAGTGGTGTGATCACAGTTCTCTGCAGCCTCTACCTCACAGGCTCAAGTGATCATCCCATTTCAGCCTCCTGAGTAGCTTGGACTACAGATGTGCACCACCATGGTTAGCTATTTTTATTTTTTGTAGTGACAGGGCTTTGACATGTTGCCGAGGCTGGTCCCAAACCTCTGGGCTCAAGCAATCCACTTGACTCAGCCTCCCAAAGTGCTGGTGTTACAGGTGTGAGCCACTGTGCCAGTCTATTCTGTCTTTTATTCTGTATTCTTGCAAAACTTACTTGTCAGTTCTAGTAGGTTTTTCATACATTCCTTTTGCATTTCTACATAGATAATCACTCTGAGAATAAAGTTTTGTTTCTTTATTTTTAATCTACATGCTTTTATTGGTCATTTTTCTTTATTCATTGCATTGGATAGAATGTCCAGTTCAATGTTGGATAGAAGTGATGAGCAAGAACTTATCTCAAAAAAAATTTTTTTTAAGTGTGCCCACACAGAAAACTTACAGTGACCAGTAGCATCAGCAGGGCTTCCAGTTGCTGCCTGGTGTGGAGTAAGGGGATGGTTTGGTATTTCAGGTTGCAGCCCAGTCTTGGATATACGGGAGATAAAATGAAAACCTCATAAAGAGAAATACAGCAAGATCTAGGAATAACTGTTTTACACTATGTAATGCTATTGTTTTTAGGTAAATTATAATGCCTGCAAAGTTTTAGAATTATTGTGAACAATATGTTAATACTCTATATTGTGTCATATAATATTTGTGATATAGATTATTATTTTAAGATGAGTAGATTCCGTGTTACTGGCCTCATGTTTAAAGCCTTTTTTTTTTTTTTTTTTTGAGATGGAGTCTCACTCTGTTGCCCAGGCTGAAGTGCAGTGGCACGATCTTGGCTCACTGCAACCTCTGCCTCCTAGATTCAAGCAATTCTCATGTCTCAGCCTCCTGAGTAGCTAGGATTATAGGCGTGCACCACCACACCCAGCTAACTTTTGTATTTTTAGAAGAGATGGGGTTTTGCCATGTTGGCCAGGCTGGTCTCGAACTCCTGACCTCAGGTGATCTGCCCACCTCGGCCTCCCAAAATGCTGGGATTACAGGTGTGAGACCGCGCCTGGCCTTGTTTAAAGCCTTTCTATGTGAAGGCATTGACTGCAGTTTAATTAAATAATAATTATGTCCATTACAGGTTTTTTTTCCTGTGGCACTGTATTTTTCTTATAGGACAAAAGAAGTATAAGTAGAGAGAAAACCATTTCAATATAAAGTACAACCTTAACATATAGAACATGTGTCGTTTTTGTTTTTATTTTTTTGAGACAGTGTTTTACTTTGTTGCATATGCTGGAGTCCAGTGGCACAATCACACCTTACTGCAGCCTTGATCCTCCTAGGCTCAAGTTATCTTCCTGCCTCAGCCTCCTGAATAGCTGGGACTACAGGTGCACATCACCATACCTAGCTAATTTCTTTTTATTTTTAGTAGAGACAAGGTCTTGCTATGTTGCCCAGGCTGGTCTTGAACTCCTTGCCTCAAGTAAACCTCAGGCCTCGGCCTCCCAAAGTATTGGGATTACAGATGTGAACCACTGTGCCAGGCCGGAACATGTGTTCTAAAAAACTAATTTACAATCATTGTATGTACCTTTCGGTAAAAATATTAGTCATTAATAGGGCCAACTGTTGGCATCTTATTTAGCATCTGACTAGAATAAAATGGCCTTCATCACGTCCCTCTGTTCAGAGTCTTGAACAATCTCTGAGCCCATCTAGATCCTGAGATTTGAGCGTTTCTGATTCTTCAAGTTTATGGGTGTTTGTGGAATCAGTGGTGATTGAAGGGTCCCTAGACACATGTGGGAAAATCTTCAGCATCAACAGAGTTAAGAGGGTATTAGGAGCTTTGATGTGTCCCATAAAAACGATGGGGAGATCCTGGAAGGGAAATGGTCTCAACCCTGGGGAGAAAGCACATCAAGTCTAGGAGGGTAAGAAAGAAAAGAAACTTTTTATCTGAGGAATCTGAGCCTCCTTTACTTATAAGGCCCAGAGATACATTGAAATGTGACGCATGTGACAACAGTCATGTATCACTCTCCCCTTGGGCTAAATAATTAACTCTTGATGCCACTTGTTATATGGGTTCTAGACTGACGTCAGTTAGCCATAAAATGCCATACACTGCCCAGCACTTTGGGAGGCCAAGACAGGCAGATCACGAGGTCAGGAGATTGAGACCATCCTGGCTAACACGGTGAAACCTGGTCTCTACTAAAAATACAAAAAAAAAAAAATTAGACGGGGATGGTGTCAGGCGCCTGTAGTCCCAGCTACTCAGTAGGCTGAGGCAGGAGAATGGCGTGAACCCGGGAGGCGAAGTTTGCAGTGAGCCGAGATTGCGCCACCACACTCCAGCCTGGGCGACAGAGCATGACTCTGTTCCCCCCCAAAAAAAAAAAAAAAAAAGCCATACGCTAGATGCCATAACACATACACCCTACTTCAACAATGTGTAGTCAACCACTAATCAATGTTACTTTTGCAAACCAGTAAGAATTCCTGTCAGACAACTTTGTATCAGACTACTGTTTGTCCCCTTTTGCCTTTAAAAACCTGATTTTAACAAAAGCCACACAAAGCACTCCCCAAGGCAACTTGGAATTGCTTCCTGCACAGCTGTCCCTAATCTTGGCTCAAAGAAACTCCCTATATTAATCTTGCCTCAGTTTCTTTCTTTAGGTCAGTATTTCCAGTGCTGTGAGCAGGATTCAGACTGACTCCTCCCGAGCCATCTAACACTCCTCCCAGACCTGGTACTTGGCCAGCTCTGAACCCCTTGTTGTCTTCTGTCTCCAAGAGAATTACTGAATGTAAGCGGTGAGACCTGCTGAAATCCAGACCTTTTCCACCCTTTGGATGAAGGTCTTAAATTTATTTGGGCTATTCTTTGCAAACCTCCTTTTCAGAATGGGGATTCCATTTTGGCCTAGAGGGTAAGATATTTGAATTTCAGGGGAAAAAAAGAAAAACTGCCTTTCTCTGCCTCTGCCATGCAGCACGAAAGTTTGGGTCAAGATATTGGCAGTCTAGCATCAATGGTTTGTTTTGTGTGTGTGTGTGTGTGTGTGTGTGTGTGTGTGTGTGTGTGTGTGTGTGTGTGTGTGTGTATGCATGTGTTGCCTAAAATTACATAGCATGTTTTTAAAATTTCAGCTGCTTTCTATTGTTTATAATTTGAACATTAAAAAATATTGTGACCAATTCCTGTTTTAAACTGAAAAGTGCATGAAAGCAAGTTCTCTTGCCCAGAAGATAAGAGATTTGAAAATATTAGTTTTTTAGAGAGCTCTTTAACCCCCAGAAAGGCCAGTAAATGCCCAAACGGCCTGCAGGCTTTTCTTGGTCTCTTGGAGATATAAATCTTTATTTTATTTTTCAAATTTATTTATTTATTAATTTCTTTATTTAATTTATTTTTAATTTTTCTCCCTCTCTATCATCTTGTAGTACCATGTCTTTAAAATGTTAACATCCAGAGAATTAACTAAGCAGCATTCTAGCTGAGATCAGATTTGAAATAGAGTTAAAATTCTTTAAAACTACCACAAAATTCCTTTCCTCACTGGATACCTTTAGGTAGGAAACAAACATTTATAAGAAATGAATTTGAATTATTAAACTAATTTGTTTGTATGACTCTTTATCTTTTGGGGGGTACCCATTTGTAATCTTTTCTACTGAAGGAAACCAAATTATTCCTCTCTAAAGTAATGAGGATTGGTAATCTGAAGACAATTAAAAAGGAGGGGAACTCTCTCTGCCTTTCCTCTGTTTGCCTAAAGGCAGGACATAAATTATTCTTTATTGGTGATAGCTACTTATCAACCCATGAACCCTGCTGGTGATGCCAGCAGGGCCAGGGAATCTGGAAGCAAACTATACTCCTCCCATAAATTTACTCTCCCACATTTTTCCACCTTTTGGCATTACCTCCATGGGCAGCTTTTGTTTTCCTGTTTTACCAATTGTCTTATTAAATCTGCTGTCAGGACTTTGTGTGTAGATGAACAGCTGAGAACCTGAGACCTTAGAGAATATGGCCAGCTAGCTAGACTAATGAAGAAAAGAGAGAAGATCCAAACGAACACGATTAGAAATAACGAAGAGGATATTACCACTAACCCTATGGAAATAAAAATAATGATCAGAAACTACTATGAATACCTCTATACATACAAACTAGAAAACCTAGAAAAGATAAATAAATTCCTGGACACATACACCCTCCCAAGACTGAACCAGGAGAAATTGATTCCCTGAACCATCCAATAATGAGCTCTGAATTTGAATCAGTAATAAACAGCTTACCAATAACAACAACAAAAAAGCCCATGACCACATGGATTCATAGCCATATTCTACCAGAGGTATACAAAAGAGCTGATACCATTCCTACAGAAGGAATTTCAAAAATTGAGGAGGAGGGACTCCTCCCTAACTCATTCTATGAGGCCAGCATCATCCTGATACCAAAACCTGGCAGAGATACAACAAAAGAAAGAAAACTTCAGGCCAATATCCTTGATCAACATTGATGCAAAAATTCTCAACAAAACACTTGCAAACCAAATCTAGCAGCACATCAAAAAGCTAATCCACCATGATCAAGAAGGCTTCATCCCTGGAATGCAAGGTTAGTTCACATATGCAAATCAATAATTGTCATTCATCATATAAATAGAAATAAAGACAAAAACCAGATGATTATCTCAATAGAACCGGAAAAGGCTTTTGATAAAACCCAAAATGTTAAAATAATTCATGTTATAATTCCATCTTAAAAACTCTCAATTAACTAGGTATTGAAGGAAAACACCTCAAAATAATAAGAGCCATCTATGTCAAACCCCCAGCCAACATCATACTAAATGGGCAAAAGCTGAAAGCATTGCCCTTTTAGACTGGCACAAGACAAGGATGCCCTCTCTCACCATTCCTGTTCAACGTAGTATTGGAAGCCATGGCTACAACAATAAGGCAAGAGAAAAAAATAAAGGGCATCCAAATAGGAAGAGAGGAAATCAAACTATCCCTGTTGGCAGATGACATGATTCTGTATCTAGATAACCCAAAAGCTCGGCCCAAAAGCTCCTTCAGCTGACAACTTCAGCAAAGTTTCAGGATACAAAATCAATGTACAAAAATCACTAGCATTCCTATACAACAACAACAGTCAAGCTGAGAACCAAATAAGGAATGCAATCTCATTCACAATGGCCACAAAAAGGATAAAATACCTAGGAATACAGCTAATCAAGGAGATGAAATATCTCTACAATGAGAATAACAAAACACTGCTCAAATAAATCAGAGATGATACAAACAAATGAAAAACATTCCATGCTCATGGATAGAAAGAATCAAATTGTTAAAAGGCCATTCTGCCCAAAGCAATTTAGAGATTCAGTGCTATTCCTATCAAACTACCAATGACATTCTTCATAACACTAGAAAAAAACTATTTTAAAATTCATATGAAATCAAAAAATAGCCCAAATAGCCAAGGCAATCCTAAGCAAAAAGAACAAAGCTGGAAGCATCACATTACCTAACTTCAAACTATACTACATGGCTACATGATGCAAATCAGCATGATATTGTTACAAAAATGAACACATAGACCATGGAACAGAATGCAGAGCCCAGAAATAAGGCCATATACCTACAACTATCTGATCTTCAACAAAGTCAGCAAAAACAAGCAATGGGGAAATGACTCCTTATTCAATAAATGGTGCTGGGATAACTGACTAGCCAAATGCAGAAGATAGAAACTGAACCCCTTTCTTATACTATACATAAAAATCAACTCACGGTGGACTACAGACTTAAATATAATACCCCAAACTATAAAAACCCTGGAAGACAACCTAGGCAATACCATTTTGGACATAGGAACAGGCAAAGATTTCACGACAAAGATGCCAAAAGCAATGTCAACAAAAGCAAAAATTGACAAATGGGATCTAATTAAACTTAAGAGCTTCTGCACAGCAAGAGAAATGACTATCAACAGAATAAACAGACAACCTACAGAATGGGAGAAAATATTTGCAAACTATTCATCGGACAAAGGTCCAATATCCAGCATGTATAAGGAACTTAAACAAATTTACAAGAAAAAAATAACAAACAACCCCATTAAAAAGTGGGCAAAGTACATGAACAGACACTTTTCAAAAGAAGACATACATGTGGCCAACAAGCATATGAAAAATAGCTCAGTATCACTGATTATTATAGAAATGCAAATCAAAACCATAATGAGACACCATCTCACACCAGTCAGAATGGTTATTATTGAAAAGTAAAAAATAACATGCTGGTGAGGTTGTGGAGAAAAGGGAATGCTTATACACTGTTGGAGGGAATGTAAATTAGTTCAACCATTGTAGAAAGCAGTGTGGTGGTTTCTCAAAGCGCTAAAAACAGAACTACCATTTGACCCAACAATACCATTACTGAGTATGTACCCAAAGGAATATAAATCAATCTACCATAAAGACACGTGCACACGTATGTTCACTGCAGCACTATTCACAATAGCAAAGACATGGAATCAACCTAAATGCCCGTCAATGGCAGATTGGATAAAGAAAATGTGGTACATATACATCATGGAATACTATGCAGCAATAAAAAACCCAAGTTCATGTCTTTTGCAGGACCATGGATGGAGCTGGAGGCTATTATCCTTAGCAAACTGAACAGAAAACCAAATATCACATGTTCTCACTTATAAGTAGGAGCTAAATAATGAGAACTCATTGCCACAAAATGGGGAACAACACACACTGGGGCCTACTTGAGGGTGGAGGGTGGGAGGAGGGAGAGGATCAGAAAAAATGTGTACTAGGCTTAGTATCTGAGTGATGAAATACTCTGTACCACAGAACCCCATGACACAAATTTACCTATATAAAAAACCTGCACATGCACCCTGTACCAAAAATAAATGTTAAAACAACAACAAAATGAGAGAATATGGTGGGTCAGATATGGGAAGTACACCATTTGTGGCTACTGAAACTTTCCTTTTTTGGAGCTGTCCTGGGGGTGGTTCTGGATCTTCTGAGGACTGAGTTACACCTCTTTAGAGACACCTCATGTGCCCTTGGTTAACTCATAACATTTTGTGGTGTTACTATATATATATATATCTCACATATATAGTAACATTATATATACAATATATATAAAACTCATAACATTTTTGTGGCACTATAGATAGATAGATAGGTATAATGTTTTCATCCACAGTTCTTTGCTCATAGCCCTTGTAAGTCTTTTGTTGTTTTTTTGTTTTTGTTTTTGTGGGTTTTTTTTTTTGTATTTTTGTTTTGAGATGGAGTCTCACTCTATCACCCAGAATGGAGTACAGTGGCGTGACCTCAGCCCACTGCAACCTCCACCTGCCAGGTTCAAGCAATTCTTCTGCCTTAGCCTCCCAAGTAGCTGGGACCACAGGTGCGCAACACCATGCCTGGCTAATTTTTGTATTTTTAGTAGAGACAGGATTTTGCCACGTTGGCCAGGCTTGTCTCAAACTCCTGGCCTCAGCTGACCATATGCCTTGGCCTCCCAAAGTGCTGGATTACAGGCATGAGCCACCCCTCCTGGCCTGTTACAATGTTGAGTGTCTTAGCCTAAGGGGCAAGGCCTCAGGAAACAAAATCTCTGGACCTTCTCCTGCCTTCCTTTTACCTGCCCCAAGGCAGGACACTAATCTTCTGCCACCTTTCTGACTGTGGGTCTTAAGACCTTCCCCAGAAAGGGTCCCACCCTACACCCTGGGGAAAGGAATGCTGACATTGTGAAGCTTCCATAAAAACCTAAGGGGACTGGGTACAAGGAGCTTCTGGATAGCTGAACCCACAGAGGTTCCTGTAGGGTGGTGTGCCAAGGAGGAGCATGGAAGGTCTGCACCCCTTCCCCCATGCCTTGCCCTACACCTGCCTTCATCTGTATCCTTTGAAATATTCTTTACAATAAACAGGTAAACATAAGTGTTTCCTTGAGTTCTATGCACAACTTTAGCAAATTAATGGAACCCAAAGAGGGAGTCATGGAAACCCCAGTTTGAAACCAGTTGGTCAGAAATTCCAGAATTGGAGGACACCCAACTGGTGTCCACTGCTTGGTGTGTGGGGAAAGTCTCCCACGCATTTGGTCATAGAAGGCTTCTCTTGTGTTGATGATTGTTGTTGTGGTGGTCTGAGAACAGATCAAAAATTGTTTTTCCAAAACAACTTGGTTAAGGCTTACTGATTTTAGTGAATCACTTGGAAAGTTACTTTTGGTTTAATAGAGGGGGAAAACAGTACAAAAGCAGGAATATTGGCTATTTGTCCTGGCTAAAATAATCTGATCAGAGATTTTGGAAAGATATTTTTTAAGAGCTCCACAGTTAAAGGCTAACTTAATTAAAAGATATGTAGAATATGTATGTACACACACACACACACACATATTTGAGGCCTCTGTTCTCATTCTCTCTATAAAACCTTCTCAAAAGACTGAATTTCTTTCTTCTTAATCTCTTGCTAACTATATGCATACCTTCAGTCTGCCTCTCTTTTGCTGACATGATTTTTGCCAAAAATAATGTAAAACTTCATTGGCTTTTTGGAAAGCTTAAATTCTTCCTCTGTGTTTTGAAATGTAAATTTGCTACCTTGCCCTCTAAAACTTGGTAAAGGCTTCAGTCATGTGAGACACATAAACCTTAACTTGTTCTGTTTACAAAGGCATAGTTTGAATACAGCTGTCCTTTTAAACTAATGAGTTTTACTTTTCTCATGGCTAAAATTTAAAAATCAAAGCTATAAAACCTTTTTATTTTATGTATACATGTGTACAGGTCTATGTTTGCATATTGTCTTCATGGTACTAGTCTGAGGGACCCAGAGGCAGACAACAGCGGAAGCTTGGGGCACAGTGTAGGTGAGCATGACTAATTCCTGCTGATTAGGCTCTCCCACTTTGTGGTTGGAGGTCTCACTCATATGCATGGCATAGATGAGGTCTAGGGAACTCAAAGGTTAATGACAGTGGGAGGCTTTGGCACTATGTAGGAGAGTGAATATTCCTGCCAGCTATGCCTTCCCGCTTCGTGAGTGAAGGTTGCATTTTCACCCATGGTCAGCATCTGCAATGGTTTATTACCAGTATGGTACTAAATTGACTTATAAATAAATAAGCACTCATAAATTAATATGCCCAAATGCTTTTCAGGTTCACGTGAGTTGAATAACTCTTTTGGTAAATACGGTTGCTATTAAACTAAAGTAGTTTAGTATTGTTATTTTAATAAAACAACTACGTCCTCTGAGTTATCCAGAAAATATACATATTTAACTTCAAAGTTCTCGCTTTTTTCATACTTGCCTAACAAACAGTAACATAAAAATGGCAAATAGGAA
This sequence comes from Homo sapiens, assembly GCF_000001405.40. NCBI lineage: Eukaryota > Metazoa > Chordata > Mammalia > Primates > Hominidae > Homo > Homo sapiens. Next base: position 108,064 of record NW_003315913.1, read on the forward strand.
ATTTAACTTGAGATAATGGCTGTATTTGTCTAACATGAAAATTTCCAAACAACTGTCAAGAATGAATAAAAGTTATAAATTAACTTTTAACAATAATTATGTTTTATAATACGTTTGCTTAAAATGGTTTTTCAAATATTTTTAATAACTATACCCTCAGAATTTTGCTAAGCTATATTAAATGATGAATATTTGTTGTTTTAGCAGTGGTGAATCTGTACAGGTCTGCAGCAACTCGATTTTTGCCTTCTCAGAAGGAAGAGTTCAGCCAAGGAGCATAAGGCAGGGTGAGAGACAGACAAGGTTTAGAGCAAGAGTGAAAGTTTATTAAAAACTTTTAGAGCAGGAACAAAAGGAAGTAAAGTACACTTGGAAAAGGGCCAAGCAGGAGACTAGCGAGATCCAAGTGCTCTGTCCAACCTTCGACTTGGGGTTTTATACATTGGCAAGATTCTGGGCTTTGCATTTCTTCTCCCTGATTCTTCTCTTGAGATGGGCTGTCCGCATGTGCAGTGGCCTGCTAGCACTTAGGAGGAGCTGCATGTGCAGTACGTTTACTGAAGTTGTGTGCATGCTCATCTAAGGCATTTTTCCCTTACTAGTTGAGTATTCCCAAAGGAGGGTTAGACACCAGTTAAACTCCATCATTTTACCTCTTAATGTGCATGCATACGCCCACTTGCCCAACTCCTGAGATTTTACCAGGAAGCTGGTAATCACCAGCTTCAGGTGCTTTCTATCTATTGGGAGACTGCCTTTCCCTAGTACCAACTTGACCAATTATTTTAGAGAGACAGTTTAACAACCACCTGACCATCACATGATGGTCTCTTGCCATTCCTGGCATGATGGGTGGGCTCTCCTGCCCTGCTCATGTCTGCCTAAGCTACCTACTCTAACAGTTGAATATCTAAATCACTTCCATATAAGATATAATTCCAAGACATTAATAATTAATTATGAGCTTAAGTATTTATGCTTTTGACTTATTATTTCAGAGAAACAAAAGTTATTTTGATCTATTAGTAAAAAGTCCTTTTCCACATTAAAAAAATTGTTAAATTAGAAAGCCTGTGTTTTCAAATATTATAAAATTTTTATTCATAAATTCTTGGCATGTGACCGACAGTTAAAAATTGCTTATTTCTTAGGTTTTCACTATGAATTGAGTTATTAAGAGTTAAAATTCTGGCTATTACATGTTAACTGCAACTAGATGTAAAAAGAGAAATAATTCCATATACAGAAAGTATGAGAAAATAAGATGTGTCTTTGGTAAGGAAGATTATAAGAAAGACATGAAGATGTGTTTTTTGTTAAACAAAAAGTAAGTTTGCCCTTTTAAAGGTTATGTAAAGGTTGTATTATATTCAAGGAATAAAAGAATAGAATGATAACTGAATATAGAAATATAGAAAGTAGTGAAAAGGAATAGAAAAATTATAATAAGTTATAAAAGATTTATGAAAATCTTATCTTGTATATTCAAAGCTGATTGAGATTGGATGGATCTGTTTATAACATTTTATTAAAATTAGCTTTAGCATTAATTATACAAAATTTCAATAGTATTAATAAGAAATAATAAAGGATTTTTAATTTACCTTTTCAGTAAACCGTAAAAACAAAAGAGAAAGGAAGAGACAGATTCTGTTGGTCTGATACTGTCTTTATTACGTCTTTTGATTGTTTGGAAAACTGAATTCCCTCTCTATTAAAAGGTAAACGTTTTGGCTTTTGGAATTTTTGAATTATCACTTTGACTAAATGAATGACTGTTATTTCATAGTAATCAGTCTACTTTGAAATCAAGTCTTTTTTAAACCTTTGACACATTTGGAAGGCTTTCCAAAATCAAATTTCAAAGTCTAAAATTAGGTTTGTTGATCTTGAACTAACTATTGGACATTCAAAAAAAGGAAGTCCAAGAGGGACACATTAGGCTTACTGGGATGTTAAAATTATATGGGAAGCATTGTCAAATATGAAATAGTGTTTGAAATACTTTGAATTATATTTGTATGAATATGTAATTAATATGTGTTCCAAAATTGCATGAGATTTCAAACAAAAATTCTGCTGTGTCTTGGTAAGCACAGTAAATTACTTTATTCTGATGCTTTATTTTCCTTTAAAAGTTCTTTGCAAATCCTAAAGTGTTGTGTCTTCAAGAAAATTTATGAAAAGAACCACGACAAGAACTCTTGAATATAGATTTCTGATAACTTTGGAGATCATACCATTGGACTAGATTTAAAAATTCAGACCTCTAATGAAAAACTGGTGGGTTTATGAAGATTATTAATCCAACATCAATCAGAACAATAATTAATTACATGGGACTGAACTGATGAAGGACTGACATTTCTAATGACATGACATTATTTCAAACACTGCTGGTTCTTTGATTGTTTTGTTTTCCAGACCTAAAAAAACTTTTTTTTCTTTTAAGCTGTTCATAGCTTACAGCAACTTGGTAAAGTTTACTTTAGTAAACAAAAATGGAAACATTTACTTCTTCTTCCCACCTCATCCCTCCAGAATTCGGAAACTATTAGTGAGTATTCTTGTTTTATGGCAATATAGTTATTTCTATAAGTTCAACAATAATCTGTTTTCCTTTTATAACAGGACGCATTGGAAACATTGGCTATTTTTACCAACGCTTTGACTGGAATGGCATCTTTTCAGATATGGCCAGATTGCTTTGAGGGATTGAAGTTGACTTTATAGAGCCAGTAGAGTTTGAAAAGACTGGCCTCCTAACCTGTATACATGGTTCCCTTATGAGGTTCTCAACCTTGCAGTAAGTAATGTCACTTCCTGACAGGCCCAGGAAATTCAAGATGTTTTGGGACCTCAAGAAAATAGAAATTCATCCAACTTGTACAGATATGACAGGCACAATCTGATGGTAAACCTTGGCTTGGCTTCTGAGCCACAAGAGGCTTTTAAAAGTCTAATCTGAAATTCCTTATGAAAAAGTTCCAGCAAAGCCAACTTAGAAGGAGCGTATGTGGCTGATCACTCTTATTGCTGCTCTTTATGCAAATAAACAGGCCAAGTATAATGAGACTAACATTTATTTAACAAATAAATTAGTTCGATTATAATTATTTTTGTTAGAAGTAAGGGTGACTATAGAGAGAAAAATTAGGTTTCAGAAGAAAACTGTAATGTATTCAATATGTATTCAATATTAGTTTCTAGCCCAGTTCATTTTCTGTGTGGTTTTATTATCTATTTGAAATCTGGACTGAATCCTGAGTTGATTTTGGCTACAAGAAGTCTCTAAAGAAAAACCTGAATTTAATTTTCTTCATGATGTTTTAAGTTGGCTCTCTAATAGAACAGGTTTTTTCTTTGTCTTTTTGTCACCCTGGCATACAAATTATCTTTTTGATTATAATCCTTAAATGCGTATATTTCTATCATTCAAATTATTAAGGCTAGGTATCTCTCATTGTTTTACTTCTTCTAGGAAAACTAAAAGCATGCCATTTCAAAGACTAGAGATGATTCAACAGGTGACGGCAACTGAACTATATAAATCAATGCCTTGACTGAGATCTCGTTTTTTTTTGGTTTTTTTTGTTTGTTTTTTGCCGCCCTATGATGCCATTTCAATTTGGCTTTTGGGTACTCTCAAATTTTGTCACTGAGATGCCTTCTTCTTTCCCCTCAACACGGGGCAGGACTATTCAGGAATGGGCCTTCCCAGCAATGAGGGACACCTTGACACTCAGACTTTGATCATCAGTGCTTTCAATAAGAAAGATTTTTGATCAAAAGTGGGAAATAAGAAAGAAAAGAAACTTCATTTGAGAAATGCTAGCCCCCTTTAATTGTCAGACCCAGAGAACCTTTGAAATGTGACAGCATATGACAGAAGTCATGCCTTGCCCCCTCCTCCTGAGCTAAATAATTATCTCTTGAAGCCACTAGCTATGTGGGTTTTAGACTGACACCAAGTAGTCATAAAATGTTACATGCTGGTCACCATATAGTTCAACAATATATATCCACTCACTAACGTTACTTCTGTAGCCCAACAAGAATTCCTGTCAAACACCTTGTATGAGCCCATTCCTTGTCCCCTTTTGCCTTTAAAAATCTACTTTTAATGAAGATGAAACAGAGTACTCCCCAAGACAATGTGGAAGTATGTCCTAGGCCAGTGTCCTCAATCTTGATCCAAATAAACTCTCTGTATTAATTTTGTCTCAGTTTCTTTCTTTAGGTCAATAAGGGCATGTGGAGAGCAAAGTTTTCAGTGGGAGGGCAGCAATTTCCATGTACAAGTATTCTTAAGACAAATGTCTGTTTGGGGGACTGTGCGTATAATATTTTTTAGTGAATTATGGTTTTCCTCTTGGTTTTCATGAAAATAATACATTGTTTCTTATTACAGTATTTCTCTCACATTTAGTAATAGCTCCTACTCTCACATGTATAATTATTACTAACCTTTTAAAAATATAAATTACTGATTAAATTTATCTCAACAGTTCTTAAAATACCAGCCCATAGGAGTTGGTTATTAGATTACAAGTCACTAGAAGGGGGACATCATGTTTGTTTCATCTTAAGTATCCACAGACACTAGCAACTATGTTTGCATATATTAGCTAATGAATAGATTTTGGCATTAATATCTTATTGTTCTCATTGATGGGAATATCACCACTCAGAGGCTCTGAGAACAATATCATGAAAAGTTGTTATTCCTCTCTAGATTCTTAAGAAAAAAGAAGTATAGATAAGAGTAAAACATATGTTCGCTCGAGTTTTATGTAAAGACAAAAACATTTTACTAACGAATTTTCTTGAGCCATACTCTACTGAACATTTGTGGGGGTGTCACTTTTTCTATAGTAGGCTTATTGTGGTAAGATAGATTTTTTTAAAGGAACAGCTGCATAAAAAGAATGAACATGTTTAAGTATGTGATGCATTCTGCGTTGGAAATATTTTACACCAACTACCATAGACACTGGAAAGATAGACACTTACCTGCTTCACTTCATTCTTACATGAAGTGGGGTATTATTTATAATAACAATCGTGTTTTATTTCTTTGTTTGTTTGTTTCAGGTTTCTTCTTTTTTAGTTTTGTTTTCTTTTTTTCCCCATAAGTAAGGAAACAAGATCCTACTTTATGATTTTTCCTGTGTTGCATTAATAGGTAATATTTCTTTGATTTCTAGATAGAACATTATGCTTACTTCTTTTCATCTGCATTTTACTAGTCTTCCTGGTTACAACTGAATTATAAGCGGAACAACAATATCAACTGATTATTTCTTCTATTTTTTCATAATATCTTTTGATAATTCCACCATCTTGCTCCCAGAGAGCAATACAGGGATGACTAATAAATTACGTCAGGGTTAATCAAATTCAGAAGAAAAACCATGGAAATTGGCTTTAAATTTGGGAGTGTATAAAAGAGAGTCATGAGATCATATATTTACATGCACAATTTTATACCTATATGATAAAAATTATATATTAAATGTGTTTTTAAAAATCAGGAAAAATTTTTCCACAGTGACACAACTGGAAGGTTAGGTCTGCGGAGAAGTAATCAACCTTGGAGTGTCTGGGTACCTGTTTCTCTTATACTTTTTTTTTTTTTTTTTTTTTTTGAGACAGAGTTTCTCTCTTGTTGCCTAGGCTGGAATGTAATGGCGCGATCTGGGCTCACTGCAACCTCCGCCTCCCACGTTCAAGCAATTCCCCTGCCTCAGCCTCCTGAATAGAGGGGATTACAGGACCTGCCACCACTCCTGGCTGATTTTTGTATTTTTAGTAGAGATGGGGTTTCACCATGTTACCAGTCTGGTCTCAAACTCCTGACTTCAGGTGATCCACCTGCCTTGGTCTCCCAAAGTGCTGGGATTACAGGCATGAGCCACCGTGCCTGAATCTCTTATACTTTCTTGAAGGAGGTTAATTTTGACCAGAATCGTAAAGAATGGCAGAGAAATAGGAAAAGTCATTGTGTGATAAGATATTGGACAATATAATTAGAAAAAAATGAAGTCATATTGGGAAAAGAAAAATACATTTAGCTTCTCAGAAGGCGAGATTTGAGCCAGATATTAGATGGCTAAAAATATTAAGGGCAATGTTCATATTAAGGGAAGCATCATATCAGGACTGTCACCATCTGCTGGCAGACCTTCTCCTTTCAGCATCCCTTTCCTGTGAGAGATTCCTGGGTCTTGGCTGATGCCTTGTATGTTGTACCAGTGACATTAAATTGTGACCAGGCTAAAGGGTTGCTATTGCCTCTTCACACTACCTGGTCCTTCCTCCTTCTGGTTACCATTAGTGGAATAAAACTGAAATGTACTTTCTATGCTGCATAGATGATTTAAAACTACTTTTAATTAGTGATATGGTTATTGTAGACTAGTTGTTCGTACTGGTCTCTCCAAGTTCTGAAAATTTTTCTCTTAAGGAAGTAACAGTTCATGTGGTCATAAGCAACTTGAGTTCTTCTCTTTTGAGGTTCTGATACCAGGCTAGTCTTAGACAAAACGTTACCTGAATTACTGGAAGAATTTTACTGTAGTGCCAGTTGTAAAGAGTACAACTGCTTCCTCTCCAAATGACTCGGATGTGGGGTATTCTTGAAATATTACAGATTTCACTGGCAGTTCTCCTTGTCTAATCCTCTAGAGACTATCACAGGACTCCAGCTAAGTTCAATGCCACAGTTGTCTGACTTGTCTGTCTTGGCCTGTTACGGTAACCAGGCAGTGACTTCCATTGCTGTTCCACAGGCCGCAAATACCTCAGAGTAATCTAGGCAATTTGAAGCCTCCTTGAATAGCTCTCCCATGTGAACAACGGCCAGTCATAGTTTCCCAGGTATCTCTGTGGGGTTTGGTAAATGACCCTTAAATAACCCCACACGCTAGGCAGGACCTTTTTGAGACTGTCATAAACAGGTGTGATTTAGGTGTGTGTCCAGAGACAGGGAAGGGAATGCTTGCCATCTCTGCAAGCTGGCTTCAGCAGAGTGGGTTTTGGCACAGGAAGTGACAATAGCAGTCCCAGACAACATGATAACAAAGCCATTTAATTCTGCTCGTTTCCTTTCCTGCCATTTGCTAATCTAATATTGCTTCTAGGTTCTTACATATTAAACTTTGGGGTTTTCTTCCACCCCCAGTATGATAAATTCTTTTTTTTTTTTTGAGACGGAGTCTCGCTCTGTCGCCCAGGCTGGAGTGCAGTGGCGCGATCTCGGCTCACTACAAGCTCCACCTCCCGGGTTCACGCCATTCTCCTGCCTCAGCCTCCCAAGTAACTGGGACTACAGGCGCCCGCCACCACGCCCGGCTAATTTTTTGTATTTTTCTTAGAGACGGGGTTTCAGCGTGTTAGCCAGGATGGTCTCGATCTCCTGACCTCGTGATCCACCCGCCTTGGCCTCCCAAAGTGTTGGGATTACAGGCGTGAGCCACAGCGCCAGGCCCCCAGTAGGACAAAATTCTACTCACTTCTTTGCAGCACTGCCATGAATTAGATCAAATACCTAACCTTTGTCTTATTTCAATACGATTTGACAAATGAAGAAACTGAAAACATAGGCTCTGAATATCTCCTGAACCAGCAGCATTTGCCTAGGAAGGGTGTGAGTAGAGTCTCTTTGGCCTCTACCACATTATGTGGTCTCTGTGAGTTACTTCTGATAGTTTTTGAAATTGAAGTTGATGGTTAATTCTCTTTGTTCAGTAAAACATCTACCTTAGGATGCTGGGGAGAGAGGAGGGACCTTGGGAGACCTTCTGTCTAAAAACTTTGTATGTGCTCGTTTTCATTATAAACTTGTGGAAACTCTATCATCTTGAGAGTACATTACGGAGGTAGTTGGAGTCTATTTCCTCTTGCCAGGTGCCTCCTGGATTTCAATTAATTCTCCCTTTTGGAATTGACCAGCAGCCGTGGTGAGAGATTGCTTAGAGGCATAGCCTTCAGATCCCAAGCTTTTCATTTGAAACAGGTCAAATTATATTCATTTGTCTAGATGCTGTTGTTGCAGATGCCACTCTATAGCTGAGAAAATTGCTCCTGGGAGATTAAGTTCCAATTTCTCCCATAGTCTGCAAGGCCAGAAGAAAACAAAAGGAAAATGTACGGAGCTATCCTTGCCCAATGGCAGAAGATAAACCTTTCTTCTCTGGAAAGAAAAAGAGTCTCTAAATACAATTTCCTGCCTTTTACACTCATGGGTATTAGCAAAGATTTTTTTACAATTTCCTCCACTAATTTTCGACAACACTACAGCCTCCCTCCAGAAGGAAAGTTATTATCTGTTATTTTTATTGGTATTTTTCTGCATGAAATTGCATTTGCCTTTGGATAATATATTCAATTAGGAATTCTTCCTTAGCTACTGCGGTCATGATATTTTATTCTTTTATTTTTATATATCATTAATATATATACTTTGAAATATTCCTCATTATATATGTATTCATAATTTTTGTTAAAATACTTTAAAATTAGACTAGCATTAAAGTTCTCATATTTTTCATGTACCTGAAAGATAGGAAAACTGTTAAAATATTTATTAACTCATGACATTAATTTTTATAGCTTTATGTCATAGCTTGTTTATGTTTAGAATAAAATTTCTCAATTTTGTATTTTGGAATCCTTTGACTCACATCAAAGGATTCAAAGATTAAAAGAACAAAAATATATTGTCTTACAGTTTTACAGGTAGAGTGATTTTTGAAACAAAAAAATGAAATTGAGCTTTAATTTACTTTCGTTTATATACAGCTGGTACCTAAGTCATGCCATCTTACCTAGAAAATGAACATGTTCCATTTCTGCCAAGCAAGTTGGCAATAAAACTCATTGATTGAGAAGAAACATTTCCTCAAAGAATGTGGAAAATTCCAACATATGCCTATGAAATCGAAACTCTGTTGTTTGCTGGAGTACCTTACTTCTAGAAAAATGTAGAAAGGACTATATTTATAATGAAACAACTCATGGAAAATGGAGTATGAACTTTAGTTAATATTAAAGTTCATGTTTTAATGTTGGCCATCAATTTTGAAAAATATACAGTATTAATATGTTAATAGAAGTTGTTATTGGGTACAGGGTATAGGGGAACTCTGTGTACCACCTTTGCAATTTTTCTGTAAATCTAAAATTGTTCAAGAAATGTATACAAACAGTTTTTAAAAGGAAAAAGTTAGAACTTTGGGAATGACAGAATGAGAACCTTGGCAAATACTCAGCTCCTTGCAAACTATAAAACTTCAATATTATCAAAAACATCTGCAAGCCAAATGTCAAAGGGTGGCATATAAAGTGTCCAACTTCTGAAAGTTTTATTCTTCTCTCTTTTCATTGAGTAAAACAAGATAAAGTTTAAAGCCAGCCATAGAACAATGCTGATGGCTTCTGGAAAACAATCTGACAGATGATGGGGTCAGTTTCATTGTTTTCTCATTTCATACAACTGATATTTTCTCCCCACTAAACTTAAGACTGATGATCCGAGGAACATGTGTCACTACCAGAATGAGAAAATCTTCAGAGACAAACACTAGTGTCCAGCAATAAAAGGACAAAGTCTTAGGGTGCTCTTTTTTGAGCCACATCTAGCTCTCCAGGTGCTTGTGATCCTAGACTGCCCTCTCCCACTGATCATCAACAAACAGCTGTGTCTCATGAAAAGCCTCATGCTCCAAAATTACCTCTTTTCTTGTTATCATCTATAAAAATGATAACAGCCAGTAATGGTGGCATATGACTGTGGTCCCAGCTACTCGGGAGGCTGGAGTGAGTGGATCAGCTGAGCCCAGGAGGTCAAGGCTGCAGTGAGCTATGATCATGTGACTGCACTCCTACTTGGGCAACAGAGTGAGACCCTATGTCATATACGTATATATGTATATCTATATATATATTCTATATATATCTATATATATTCTATATGTATATATATTCTATATATATCTATATATATATCTAGATATTATCTAGATACATATATATATAGATATACATGTATATGTAGAATTGTAGAATTGTAGAAAATGAGTTTTTGAAACTAAGAAATAGATTTACTGACCTACTTTTCTTTACCTTATACCTTCTTGGGTAATAATGTATCCATAGCTGTATGAGTATTCAATGAGAGTTAATTTTTAACATTTGGACCTCCTGTTAGAATTCAGAGTATTATAATGATATAATGAAACTCTTTAAAGTACTAGAGTTAATTGCAAAATTAAATATAAAATATAATCATATGCATGAGATACATATATATGTATATGTGTATATATAAATGATAATGTATATAATAGTGACAATAAATAACAGTCTCTGAGTGCTTACTATGTGCCAGGCAAACACCTATGATCTGATTAGTTTAACTTAGTTATCATGTCACATATATTTTACCTTTCTAAATAAAAAAGTATTAGGATTTTCTCTAACTTTCTTGGGAAAGAAATGAGAATATATTACAGTGATAATGGCTGTTATAACTTCTCATGGGTATATTAGTTTCCTGTCACTGCTGTAACAAATTGCCACAAACTTAGTGGCTTTAAAAAAATAAAAATGTATTACCTTACCGTTGTATAGGTCAGAAGTCTAAAATGGGTCCCAAAGTGTCAGCAGAGTTCTGTTTTCTTCTGGAGTTTCTAAGGGAGAGTTTGTTTTATTTCTTTTCCGGATTCTAGAGATTGCCAGCATTCCTTGCCTTCTAACCTTCCTTAATCTTCAAAGCTAACGGGCTAGTCAACTTTCTCATATTGCAACACTCTGATATTATTCTTTTCTCTCTCCTCCATCTTCTGGCGATCCTTGTGATTACATTGAAACCACCCGGATATTCTGTCAGAATCTCCTTGTTCTAAGTGAGCTGATTAGCAATCTTAATTTCATCTGCATCCTCAATTTCCTTTTACCATGTAATAGAAAATATTCACAGGTTTGGGAAATTAGGATGTGGACATCTTTGTGCTTTGTGGGACCATTATTCTGCCTACCACAATGGATATTTCCACATTTGAGAGAATAAACCCCAACCACTTGATGTCCAAGTTTTGAAAAGTTTCCAGACACCTACATTTAACTTCTTTGATTATATTAATTGGCCCCTTCTTCTCTACATAACTACCATACAGTTTAATTTCATAAAATTCCTCTCTTTTCCTCTCCTTTATATTTGTGGTTTGAAGACAGGAAATCTTGTTTATCGTAAACTTTATGCCACCTCTTGTCTTGGCCTTTCCTATCACTGGCCTCTCTCAGAATTCTAATCACTATTACAGTTAACGGATTTGATATTTTCCATTCCTTAGACCTTTTAGGCACTAATGAATGAATTAAGCCATTATTTAATTTATTAAAATATTTATTAAGTACATACTATATGCTAAGTACTACATATTTAGGAGTCAGAAGGCAAAAATCTTATAGTGTCTTCCATCAGTGAATTTACTATTTGGAAAGACAGATACACAAATAAAACATGATTAAAGGGTTGCCATTTCATAAGCTGCAGGAATGTCAATTAGCCAGAACCATAGATTATGAATGCTGTTATTAATAGTGCCTCTTTCACTCTCTGAAGTGTTTTTGTTTAAATGATAAATTATATTGCCTGTGTCAATTGAAACACTTGACAACAATGTATGACTGTCTCATTTTCATTCTTATCATGAATTATGTTACCAGAAGTTTTGTTCTTTGTCAACGTGACAAGTGATATGTGGTTTTTATTGTAAACTTAATATACATTTCACTTATAATTTAGTGTGGGCGGTCTTCATATATTATAAACCCAGATGGATTTCTTGTATTTCTCATTTTTTGATCTGCCCAAATCTTCTATGAATTTTTAAAAATGATTTTTTTCTTATTATTGATTTTTGGTAGCTAAATATTATGTGGATAATTATTTTGTTTATGATGTAAATAGCAATTCTCATTTTTTACTTCTTTTGGTTTTTTTCGGGTTGAATTAAAAATTGTATTCATGTACATGCATTGATTTCTGTTAGGCTCAGTTGTGATTGACGGGAAATTTGTCATCATGAAATCATTTCCCTAACCATATATTCAAATTTCAAGCCCTAGAAACCAAACACCACATGTTCTCACTCATAAGTGGGAGTTGAACAATGAGAACACGTGGACACAGGGAGGGGAACATCACACACTGGGGCCTATCAGGGGGTCAGGGGCTAGGGAAGGGATAGCATTAGGAGAAACACCTAATGTAGATGACAGGTTGATGGGTACAGCAAACCACCATGGCATGTGTATGTTCTGCACATGTATTCCAGAACTTAAAGTATCATTAAAAAAAAAAAGGAAAAAAAAGCAGAAAAAAAAATTTCTAGCCCTAGAAGAAGTTCCCAAGGTCGAGTTTTAGGAATTTGAGTCAGAAAAGCTTTAAAGAAAAGACTAATAATCACCACATGGTTTATGCAGAGAAATGGTGGTTGATCAGGTTAATTAACTATAATTTTACAATGTACCAAAGATAAAAATCTGTTTCATATTTAGGTCTTTGAAACGTCACAAGAAATTAATTAGTTCATTTGTATAACAAAGACACAGTTTATCTTTATGAGAAAATCATGGTTAAAAGTTTGAAGAAGAACAATTGTGCTTAGCAAAAGGGGTCCAGTTCTTTCCTTATGATCCATATTATGTTGCTGAGTGTCTGGAGTCAATTACAGATCATCTCTCTGGTACTGCCCTGAGTTCAGAAGGACTCAGAACTAAGTGTGGGAGAAACCAATCTTGTTTCTGAGAGTATCACATATTGACTTTGTTCACCTGGGTTAGACATAAAACTTAAAAATGAATGTGCATTTTGATGTTGACTTAAAAGGAAAGACATCAAGTCTTAATGTGAGACTTGTTCCCACTGCAATCAGAGAGAGACGCTTCCCCCAGAGTTGATTACCTGAAGTTCATTTAGATTCACAGCCATTGGTTGAATTCCAACTGTAGAAAATGAGTTTTTGAAACTAAGAAATACATTTACTGACCTAGTAATTTTTTTACCTTATATCTTCTTGGGTAATAATGTATTCATAGCTGTATGAGTATTCAAAGAGGGTTAATTTTTAGCATTTGTACCTCCTGTTAGAATTCAGAGTATTATAATAATATAATGAACCTCTTTAAAGTATTTGAGTTAATTGCAAAAATTAAATATTAAAATATAATAAAAACACTAAAGCTGTAAAGATCAAAAACCAACATGTTAATGTGTAAATGTACCAGCTATCAATTAACCAAGTGCTGAATTAATTAATTAATTAATTAATTTATTTATTTATTTATGATGGAGTCCCACTCTGTTGCCCAGGCTGGAGTGCACTGGCACCATCTCGGCTCACTGCAACCTCCGTCTCCTGGGTTCAAGTGATTCTCCTGCCTCAGCCTCCCAAGTAGCTGGGACTACAGGTGCACACCAGCACACCTGGATAATTTTTGTAGTTTTAGTAGAGATGGGGTTTCACCATATTGGTCAGGCTGGTCTTGAACTCCTGACCTCAAGTGGTCCACCTGCCTCAGCCTCCCAAAGTGCTGGGATCACAGGTGTGAGCCACTGCCCCTGGCCACTGAATTTATTTATTTGTTATGAAAAGAAACACTTGCTAGATAATTAACAAGAAAAGTCCAGGAATCTTAAAGGGAGGGAGTCTCCTGTGGTTACATAAATTATATGTGAAACTTGCACCCTGAATAGGATGACAGGAGTCCATAAATTGATTTTGGATTGGTTATAATGAATTTTATTGTTTATTGCTCAGTATAAAGTGTTCTGTTATGTTCTGTGGTGGACCAGCATCTTAGATTTGCTCACGTCATATCTGTTTATCACCCTAGTTGGTTAGATCTAGTTAGAGTGAAATATATCATCCTACTTAGACATAGTTCAAGTTGTAAGTGAAAGACTTTTCTTTTATATTGGTGTATAGAAAGGTAGAGACAGTGTATGGCTTAGCTGAACTGAGGTGGTGAAAGTGTGCTGCACTGTGAACGCAGAGTGGTGCTTCTCAGTGGCCCTCTTTTGCCTTTTCAGATGTCAGGCCCTCTGACTGGCTTTAATCAACTAGTAAAACATCATGAACATGATCCAACTAATTTGTGATGTGCTTTATATACATCTTGATTTGGATTGATAACCATTTGTTTAACATTTTTGCATCACTATTCATGAGTGATGATGTCCTGTGATATTCCTTGGAATGTTCTTGTCAGAATTTGATATTAACTCCATACTGAACTCATAAAATAAACTGAGAAGTATTTCTTATATTTTTTGGATAATTCATGGTAATATTGTTGTTTCTGTTGAGAACAGGCCCCCAAATCTGGCCATAAACTGGCCCCAAAACTGGCCATAAACAAAATCTCTGCAGCACTGTGACATGTTCGTGATGGCCATGACACCCACGCTGAAGTTGTGGGTTTATCAAAATGAGGGCAAGGAACATCTGGCCCACCCAGGGTGGAAAACTGCTTAAAGGTGTTCCTGAGTCACAAAAAATAGCATGAGCGATCTGTGCCTTAAGGATGTGTTCCTGCTGCAGATAACTAGCCAGAGCCCATCCCTTTGTTTAGGCCCATCCCTTTGTTTCCCGTAAGGAATACTTTTAGTTAATCTATAATCTATAGAAACAATACCTATCACTGGCTTGATGTCAATAAATATGTCAATAAACATATGCTGTCAATAAATATCTCTGTTAGTGGCTCTCAGGTCTGAAGGCTGTGAGTCCCCTGATTTCCCAGTCCACATTCTATATTTCTGTGCATGTGTCTTTAATTCCTCTAGCGCTGCTGGATTAGGGTCTCCATGATCGAGCTGGTCTTGTCAAGTGGTGCCCATACATGGGGCTTGAACCCAGGTCGAAGGGTCGCCAGAGCAATGGTTGGAGAACATGGAACTAAGCTGGAGGACACCCGAGTACTCTTAAGCAATTCCCGTGGTGAGTAAGAAGGGGAGCTCAGAAGCATCAGGGTAACAATGGGACAAGTGCAGGCTCTGGTTCATTCCACCTTGGAACCTTTTCACACTGTTGATGAGGAGGAAGGAGAGTATAATGAAGTAATATAGCAAGTTTGTTTACCAGCTAAAGCTAAAGCAGCAAAGGAGGAAGAGGTTTGTCCCTACCCTTCTGCGTCCCCTCATTATTTTGAAGAAATAGAGTGGCCTGACCCTACAGATCTTTCTTTTTTGGAGGAAGCTGGGTGAAAAGTAGTTGCCCCAGTGACTGTTCGAGCAGCTCCTCAAGAGACTGCTCTCAGTTATATTCAGGCAGGAATCCAGCAAGCTAGAAGAGAGGGTGATATAGAGGCTTGGCAGTTCCCTGTTAGGATACACCCCCCAGATCAACAGGGAAATCTTATAGCCACATTTGAGCCTTTTCCTTTCAAATTACTCGAAGAATTTAAACAAGCTATTAATCAATATGGACCAGGTTCTCCTTTTGTAATGGGGCTGTTAAAGAATGTTGCTGTCTCCGGTCAGATGTTGCCAGCAGAGATGGTAGGATTACTTGTAGGTAGGTCTAGTTTAAATGTAAAAGGACAACAAGTACAAACAGGAGTCATTGATTCAGATTACAATGGGGAAATTCCAATTGTTATGTCTACTTCTGTTCCCTGGAAAGCAGAGCCAGGAGAGCATATAGCACAGCTCCTGATTGTGCCATATGTGGAAATGGGGAAAAATGAAATTAAATGAACAGGAGGATTTGGAAGCACAAATAAACAAGGCAAAGCAGCTTACTGGGCAAATCAAATTACTGATAAATAACCTACCTGTGAAATAACTATTCAGGGAAAGAAGTATAAAGGTTTGGTATATACAGGAGCAGACATTTCAATAATTTCTCTGCAGCACTGGCTGTCAGCGTGGCCAATTCAACCCACTAAATTTAACATAGTTGGAGTTGGTAAAGCCCCTGAAGTATATCAAAGTAGTTATATTTTGCATTGTGAAGGGCCCAATGGACAGCCTGGGACTATTCAACCAATTATAACTTCTGTACCTATAAATTTATGGGGAAGAGATTTATTACAGCAATGGGGAGCACAGGTTCTAATTCCAGAACAATTATATAGCCCTCAAAGTCAACATATGATGCATGAAATGGGGCATGTCCCTGGTATGGGACTAGGAAAAAATTTGCAAGGTTTGAAAGAACCGCTTAAAGCAGAAAGACAAAGTTCTTGCCAAGGTTTAGGATATCATTTTTTATGGTGGCCATTGTTAAGCCTCCAGAACCTATACCTTTAAAATGGTTAACAGATAAACCAATTTGGATAGAACAATGGCTGCTAGGCAAAGAGAAACTGGAGGCTTTAGAGGACTTACTTATTAAACAATTAGAAAAAGGACATATAGCGCCAACATTTTCCCCTTGGAATTCTCCAGTTTTTGTAATTAAGAAAAAATCAGGTAAATGGAGAATGTTGACATATCTTAGAGCCATTAATTCAGTTATACAACCTATGGGAGCATTGTAGCCAGGACTGCCTTCTCCTGCTTTGATTCCAAAAAATTGGCCTTTAATCATCATAGATTTAAAAGACTGTTTCTTTACTATCCCTTTAGCTGAGCAAGACTGTGAATGGTTTGCACTTACAATTCCTGCAGTAAACAACCTTCAGCCTGCTAAGCATTTTCACTGCAAAGTGTTGCTACAAGGCATGCTAAACAGTCCAACAATTTGCCAGACTTACGTAGGGCAAGCAATTGAACCTACTCATAAAAAGTTATCACAGTGTTACATTATTCATTATATGGATGGTATACTTTGTGCTGCTCCCACTTGAGAAATATTACTCAAATGTTATGATCACTTGCAAAATTTGATTTCTCGTGTTGGTTTAATTATAGCTCCTGACAAAAGTCAGACTACTACTCCTTACTCCTACTTGGGGACTTCAGTAAATGACACTACTATTGTGCCACAGAAAGTAACCATATGTAGGGATCAATTGAAAACATCAAATGACTTTCAAAAATTACTAGGGGACATTAATTGGATATGATCTGCTCTAGGCATTCCTACCTATGCCATGAGTAATCTATTTTCTATCCTTAGAGGAGATTCTAATCTCACTAGCCCTCAACAATTAACAAAGGAGGCTGAGACAGAGTTACAGCTGATTGAGAAGCAAGTGCATAAGACTCAAATAAATAGAACAGAACCAGAGAAGACTCTAGATTTGCTGATTTTTCCAACTCAGCATTAACCTACTGGTGTTATTGTCTAAGAGCAGGACTTAGTAGAATGGCTTTTTCTTCCACATACTAATTCATGGACTCTAACTCCTTATTTAAATCAAATCGCTACTATGATAGGAAATGGGAGAACTTGGATTGTTAATTTACATGGATATGATCCTGGAAAAATTGTCGTCCCTCTCACGAAGGCACAAATACAGCAAGCCTTTATAAATAGTCTTACTTGGCAAACCCATTTAGCTGATTTCACGGGTGTTCTTGAAAATCACTTTCCGAAAACAAAATTATTTCAATTTTTGAAATTAACTAATTGGATTCTCCCTAAAATTAAATTTAAACCAATTGAAGGTGCTGAAAATGTTTTTACAGATGGGTCTAGTAATGGTAAATCTTCTTATTCTGGCTTGAAAGGTAAGGTTTTTCAGACTCCCTATACTTCAGCTCAAAAAGCCGAGCTTGTAGCTGTAATTGAGGTATTGACTGCTTTTATTATGCCTATTAATGTGATTTCTGATTCTTCATATGTGGTTCATTCCACACAATTAATTGAAAATGCTCAGTTATGATTTGATACAGATGAACAACTGATGACTTTATTTACCCAATTGCAAACAGCAGTTAGGACTAGAATGCACTCTTTTTAATATCACTCACATTAGGGCTCATACACCTCTTCCAGGACCTTTAACTGAAGGGAATCAAATGGCTGATCACCTAGTTGCTACTGCAATATCTAATGCCAGACACTTTCACAATTTAACCCATATTAATGCCTCTGGTCTCAAACGCAGATACAGCATTACCTGGAAAGAAGCTAAAGCTATTATCCAGCGATGCCCAACTTGCCAAATGGTGCGTTCCTTATCTTTTACAGGAGGAGTTAATCCTCGAGGACTGGAACCTAATTCTCTTTGGCAAATGGATGTCACACATGTTCCCTCGTTTGGGAGACTAGCTTATGTACATGTATGTGTGGACACCTTTTCTCATTTTGTCTGGGCTACATGCCAATCAGGAGAGTCTTCTGTCTGTGTTAAGTGTCACCTTTTGCAGTGATGGGCATTCCAGCTTCTATTAAACAGATAATGCCCCAGGCTACACTAGCCAAGCTCTAGGTACATTTTTCTCTATATGGAATATTAAACACATTACTGGCATCCCATATAATTCTCAAGGACAAGCCACAGTAGAAAGAATGAATCTCTCCCTAAAATGACAATTGCAAAAGCAGAAAGGGGGAAACTAGGACCATGGGACACCACATATACAATTGAATCTAACATTATTAACTCTAAGTTTTTTTAGCCTGCCTAAAGGCCAGATGCTATCAGCAGCTGAACAGCATCTACAGAAACCAGCTACAAAAACAGAAGCAGAACAACTGGTTTGGTGGAGAGATCCAACAACAAAAAGTTGGGAAATAGGTAAAATAATAACTAAGGGTAGAGGTTATGCTTGTGTTTCTCCAGGCCAGAACCAGCAGTCGATTTGGATACCATCAAGACACCTGAAAACTTTATCATGAGCCAGATACCCAGGAAGAGGTTTCGGGAGGATCCCAAAGACCCACCGGTGGCAGCATTGTCCAAATTGACACTGAGGAGGACCCCAACTGTCATGAGCAACACCCGTCGAATGCAGCCACCTACCTGGGGACAGATCAAGAAGCTGTCACAGATGGCGGAAGAAAACCTGAGAAAAGCGGGACAACCAGTCACAATGAGTAATTTAATGATAGCTATGATAGCAGTGATCACCATTGCTGTGAGTATTCCTTTAGCAAGGGCTGACACAGAAAACAATTATACTTATTGGGCATATTTGTCAATGTTGGCTGGCAATAATGCCTGGATGTAATCACTGTATGGTACAGTTACACATGCTTTCTGATCTCAGTATTTACCATAATAAATCTGCTCCTTTAATTGAGGCATATCACCCTCAAAAACCTATTTGTAAACAGAATTGGACCTGGCCAGAAATAATGAACATACTTGTTTGGGAAGATTGCATTGCAGAACAGGCAGAGGGGCTGTGCAACGATTCCTATGGAATCATTATTGATTGGTCCCCTAAGGGGATGTTTAGCTTGAATTGCACCTCTCAGTCTGTGTGCCATGGCCACACTATGTTCAGCTGGTCTAAACAAAATGGTCATATGGTAGAAATAGTAAGAAATATGGCAAGAGTTCCTATTATTTGGAAACCTGATGGTATAGTGGCACCTCAATCTCAAATGATATGGACCACTGTAGGAGTTAAACTAAAGATTTGTGGCAACTATTAATGGCTCTTAAATAAGATCAAAATCTGGGAAAGAATAAAAAAGCGTCTAGAAGGACACTCTACAAACTTGTCTTTGGATATTGCAAAATTAAAAGAACAAATGTTCAAAGCATCCCAGGCACACATGACCTTAATGCCAGGAACTGGAGTGCTTGAAGGAGCTGCAGACAGATTAGTAGCTATTAACCCATTAAAATGGATAAAGACACTTGGAGGCTCTGTGATTTCAATGATGATTGTGCTTTTAGTCTGTGTTGTTTGTCTTTGTATAGGAAAAAATAGTTATGATAGTGGCATTGTTTTCCATTATTACTCTTTTTAATGTCTTTATGGAAGATAGCTGGATTCTCACATTTAGTCTGTTGTGATATCGTGTGTCATGTAGCTCCTGGAAAATTCAACTGTATACTCATGGGTGAATTAGATTTTTTTAAAAAGTCAGAAAGAATCATTATATTATGTGCACTTCCTGAATGTGTCTCAGAGACCCATAAGCATTGCAAGATCACACTTTGAGATCTGCTGCTCTTATCTACCTCAATCTTAAATTGCTAGATTTTAGAATTTTTTTTATGACCATGCCAGAATTTGAACTCAAATCTGCCACGTTGAAGATACCACACTCACTCCTTCTCTCAAAACATGCTGGTATCTGGAAACCTCATAGATAATAGTGATAACAGGAAACTAGGGAGAAAGCAGCAACAGACAATAAAAGATCACAGAAAACAGAGCAATGCATGGGATATGAGGAAGAGGCTGACTGCTATGTTACCTAGAAAAGATGACAGATTTCTCAAACTAAATACCTGAGGCATATTCTATTCAAAGTCCAAAATTTGCTGAATGACCTCAACTTCCCATTTTTTAATATTAATTGCTAATGTCTTGTCTTATTCACTGGACAACAGAGGGAAAGGTGTATGAGCAAGGGCCAGCCCTACAGTGACTGCTGTTATCTTCCCTGAATAGCTCACATATGTTTAGACTTTAGAGTGACTAATGCTTATTTTCTCAATGTAAGCACATTCTGCAACTGTAAGAATTTGACTTGTACTTTCTCAAATAAAAAATAGAATTAAGACATTGTACATCTAAAATAGAATTGGCATTATGCATTTCTTTATATATATGTATTGTATATACACACAATTAGAAAGAAAATATTGAGAAAGAATTATTTTGATGATTATTCTAGTGATTGATCAACTTCCACTTGCTCAAGGGGTAACTGTTCTGTTATTGTCATGACTAAATTACAATAACTCAAGTGATTCTTGGAGAGATGCTAATTTTTAAATATATGTCAGGGAAACCAATATTATGGTTCTTGATAAAAATGGTGTAGAAAAAAATAATACTCTGCAGTCACACATTCAAATTATATAGTTTAAAGTAGGAGACAAACATGAGCTTTAAAGACAATAAGATCTTAGAAAGTTTATCTAATTCTTCAGTGGCTCAGTTTTTTCAACTGCAAAATGAGAAAGCTAATCAACAAGCTACAGTGTTACTATGAGAATAGGAGGGCATCTATCCCATAATACCATTTAATAATGTCTAGAATAGTTGCTGATTATTATTTAATAGAGAGGTAGTCAGCATCTATTCCATGAGAGAAGCTGTGAGAGATGAGGAAACAAAAATTAAACTTAATTTAATTTAATAAAATAAAACTAAAATAAAACTAGCTATAGAAGTTAATTTTAAAATGACACATTTGCTAAATTGAAAAAATCTTTCATTGTAATTATCATTGACCAGGAATGAATATTTTATTCAAGAATATTTTTAATATGCAAATGTGGGTCACCATAATGTTCTGAGCATGATATTATCTGAAGGTGGTCATGACACTTGGCACACCTGGTGATAAGGAGAAGGTGGGACTAGCCATACTGGCCATGCCAGATGGGCCTAGTTTTTAATTGCCTGCCTTTGCATATTAAAGGTTGCCAGCCTGGCTCTTTAAGCTGCCTTTCTGTTAGAAAAGAAATGACTCACAGGTTGTTTCTATTAAAAGAAAAGTTTCCACCTAGAATCTTTACCTTATCTAGCTGCCTAAAATTAATTCTTAATAACTCCTGTATTATCGCCATCATGGGCTATACTGTTCTGAGGTCCTAGGTAAACTTGAAAGGCAGTCTAGGCAACAAGGACTGCAATTCTTGAGCAAGTCCTGGTGCTATGCTGGATTTGTAGCCTGTGGACTTGGGGTGCACATGACCCAGTGAAACACCAGCTGGGGTGGCCAAAGGAGTGTTTGAAACACTTCTCCCTCAACCCTAGGCAGTGCAGCTTGCAGCTCCAGGAGAGACTAGTTCCTTGCACTTGAGAGGAGAGGGGAAAGAAAAGAAGACTTTTCTTACAACTTGGATACCCGCTCAGCCACAGTAGAATAAAGCACTAGGCAGAGTACTGAGGCATCCATTCCAGGCCCTAGCTCCACTCTGGGCCAGAAGGGAACCCACTGCCTTGAAGGGAAGGATCAGTCCTGACAGAATTCATCACCACTGACTAAAAAGTTCTTAGGCCCTGAATAATCAGCAGTGGTAGTCAGGCAGTACTTGCAGTGGATCTTAGGTGAGACTCAGAACTGTGTTCTGGCTTCAGGTGTGACCCAGCACATTCCCAGCTGTGGTGACTACAGGGAGGAATGCTTTCTGCTTGAAAAAGCGTGAAAGAAGAGAAGGGGACTTTATCTTGCAGTTTATGTACCAGCTAGGTTACAGTGTGGTAGAACACCAAGAGGGTTCCTGGGGTCCCTGATTCTAGGCTGTGGCTGCTGGATGACATTTCTGGACCTGCTCTGTGCCAGAGAGTAGCCCACTGACCTGAACAGAGAGTCTTGGGGCTGGAAGCATTCACCACAAGCTGAGACTCTTTTGCCTGTGGAAAGAATAGGGAAGAATGGGAAGGACTTTGCCTTGTAGCTTGGGTGCGAGCACAGTGACAGTAGATTAGGACACCTGTAGACAGTAGACTCCTAAAGCCCTGCCTCCCAGACAGCATCTCTGGACCCACCTGGAGCCGAGGGTATCTCACTGCCGTGAAAGGATAGACACAAGCCTGGCTGGATTTGCCACCTGCTGATTGTAGAGTCCTAGGGCCTTGAGCGAACATAGGTGGTAGCCAGGCATGTTTACCACAGGCTTTGGGTGAGAACCAGTGATTTGCTGGCTTTGGGTTTGACCCAGTGCAGTCTCTGTGGTGGTGGCCACAGGGGTGCTTGTATCACCACTACCCTAGCTCCAGGAGGCTCAGCACAGATGGAGACTTTGTTTGTCTGGGAGAAAGTAAGGGAAGAGAACATGAGTCTCTTGCCTTAGAGAATTCTTCAGGATCTTATTCAAGACCACTGAGGTTGTATGTCTACAAGTCTGTAAGAGAAACAGTGTTAGAGGGTTTGGGGTGCTCTCTAATGCATGTATGGCTGCAGTGACCAAAACCTTATATCATAATACCCAAGTTCCTTCAAATACCTGGAAAGCCTCCCCAAGAGGGTTGGGTACTGATAAGTGCAAATTGTGAAGACTACCTAACTTTTCAATTGCTAGACACCACGAACATCCACAAGCATGAAGACCACAAGGAAAACATGACCTCACCACATGAACTAAACAAGACATAGTGACTAATCCTGGAGAGTTGGAGATATGTGACTTTATAGACAAAGAATTAGAAATAGCTATATGTGGAAGCTAAATTAAATGCATGATAGATAACACAGAGAAGAAATTCAGAATCTGAACAGATAAATTTAATGGACAGATTAAAATAATTAAATAGAGTCAAGCAGAAAATGTGTAGCTGAAAGATGCAATTGAAATATCAAAAAATGCATTAGAGTCTCAACAGCAGAACTGATCAAACAAATGAAAAAATTAGTGAGCTGGAAGATAGCCTATTGGAAAAACCACAGTCAGATAAGACAAACAACAACAACAACAAACAATAAAAAGAATAAAGCAGTCCAGCCAGAGCAATCAGAGAAGAGAAAGAAATAAAGGGCATCTAAATCAGTAAAGAGAAAGTCAAACTGTCACTGTTCACCAATGATATGATTATACACCTAGTAAACTGTAAAGACTCATTCAGAAAACTTCTAGAACTGATAAATGAATTCAGTAAAGTTTCAGGATACAAAATCAATGTACACAAATCAGTAGCACTGCTATACACCAACAGTGAAACAGCTGCAGAAAAAGTAAAATGTTTAGGAATATATCTAACCAAGGAGGTGAAAGGCCTCTACAAGAAAAACTACAAAACACTGCTGCAAGACATTATAGACGACACAAATGGAAACACATCCCATGGTCATGGAATATGGAATCAATATTGTGAAAATGACCAGACTGAAAAAAGCAATCTACAAATTCAATGCAATTCCCATCAAAATACCACCATCACTCTTCACACAACAAGAAGAAGCAATCCTAAAATTCATATGGAACCAAAAAAGAGCCCATGTAGCCAAAGCAAGACTAAGCAAAAAGAACAAATCTAGAGACCTCACATTACCTGACTTCAAACTATACTATAATACTATAGTCACCAAAACAGCATGGTACTGGTATAAAAATAGGCACATAGACTAATGGAACACAATAGAGAATGGAGAAATAAAGCCAAATACTTACAGTCAACTGATCTTCATCAAAGCAAACAAAAACATAAAGTGAGGAAAGGACACCCTATTTAACAAATGGTGCTGGGATAATTGGCAAGACACATGGAGAAGAATGAAATTGGATCCTTGTTTTCCATCTTACACAAAAATCAACTAAAGATGGATCAAATACTTCGATCTAAGACTTGAAACAATACAAATTCTAGAAGATAACATTAGAAAAATCCTTCTAGACAAATTGACTTAGGCAAAGGCTTTATGACCAAGAACCCAAAAGCAAATGCAACAAAAATAAAGATAAATAGATGGAACTTAATTAAACTAAAAAGCTTCTGGACAGCAAAAGAAATAATCAGCAGAGTAAAGAGACAACCCATAGAGTGGGAGAAAATCTTTGTAATCTACATATCTGACAAAGGACTAATATCCAGAATATACAAGGAACTCAAACAAATCAGCAAGAAAAAAGCAATCTCATCAGAAAGTGGGCTTTGTTAAGGACATGGTTAGACAATTCTCAAAAAAAAAAGATATAAAAATGGCCAAAAAACATATAAAAAATGCTCAGCCTCACTAATTATCAGGGAAATGCAAATAAAAACAACAATGCAATGCCATCTTACTCCTATAAGAATGGCCATAATCAAAAAGTCAAAAAATAATAGATGTTGGCATGAATGTGATGAAAAGGGAACACTTTTACAGTGTTGGTGGAAATGTAAACCAGTACAACCACTATGGAAAACAGTGTGGGGATTCCTTAAAGAACTAAAAGTCTATTTACTGTTTTATCCAGCAATCCCATTACTAGGTATCTACCCAGAGGAAAAAGAAGTCATTATACGAAATAGATACTTGCACACGCATCTTTATGGCAGCACAATTTGCCATTGCAAAAACATGGTATCAGCCCAAATGCCCATCAATCAATGAGTGGATAAAGACAAAATGTATATATATATTTATATATATATATACTATTCAGCCATAAAAGGAATAAAATAATAGCATTGGCAGCAACCTAAATCAAATTGAAGACCATTATTCTAAGTGAAGTAACTCAGGAATGGAAACTGAAACATTGTATGTTCTCACACGTAAGCGGGAGCTAAGCTATGAGGATGCAAAGTCATGAGAATAATACAATGGACTTTGGGAACTCAGAGGGAAGGGTGGGAGTGGGTTGATGGATAAGACTACATTTTGGGTACCATGTACACTGCTTGAGTGATGGGTGCCCCAAAATGTCAGAAATCACCACTGAAGAACTTATCCATGTAACAAATCTGGATAAGGATCTGGGGAACAAACGGCACCTGTTCCCCCCCAAATCTGTTGAAATAAAAAAAAAGATCATTGGGAAAAAACAAGGATAAAGCACACTTAAGAATCTCTAGAAAACCGTTCCAATCATGCAAATCTATGTTATTGGTCTTAAACAGGAGGGAGAGACATAGGGAAAGAAAATTTATTCAAAGGTTTAATAACAGAAAAAGTTCCAAACCTAGAGAAAGACATCAACATTCAATATAAGAAGATTGTAGAAAAACAAGCAATTTTAACCCAAAGTAGGCTACCTGAAAACAGAATAATCAAACTCTCAAATGTCAAGGATAAATAAATAATTTTAAAAGCAGCAAGAGAAAAGAAACAAATAATGCACAATGGAGCTCCAATATGTCTGGCAGCAGAACTCTCAGTGGAAACCTTACAGGCCAGGAGAGAGTGGCATGACATATAAGGGGCTGAAAGAGAAAAACTTATCCTAGAATCATATATCCAGTGAAAATATCCTCCAAACATGAAGGAGTTATAAAGACTTTTCCAGACAAACAAAAGCTGAGGGATTTCATCAATACCAGACCTGTTCTACAAGAAATGCTAAAGGGAGTTCTTCAATCTGATTGAAAAAGATGTTAACAAACAACAGCAAATCATCTGAATGTTCAAAACTCACTAGTAGTGGTATATAAACAAAAATCCATAGAATATTACAACACTGTAATGATAGTGTGTAAACTATGCATATCTTGAGTAGAAAGACTAAAAAATAAACCTATCAAAAATAATAACTACAACAACTTTTCAAGACATGGGCAGTACAATAAGATATAATACAAACAGCTAAATGTTACAAAGCATAGAGATGAAGTCAAAATCTAGAGTTTTTATCAGTGGTTTTTTTTTTTTTTTGGCCTATTAGTTTGTGTGTTTCTTTATGTAATCATTGTTAAGTTGTCATCGATTTAAAACAATGGGTTATATTATTTGCAAACCTCATAGTAACCTCAAATCAAAATGCATTCAACAGACCCACAAAAAATAAGAAGCAAGAAATTAAAACATACCATCAGAGACATTACCTTCACTAAAAGATAGATAGGATGGAAGAAATGAAGGAAAACAAGACCAAAAAACAACCAGAAAACAAATAACAAAATGGCAGGTGTAAGTTATTGCTTATCAATAATAACATTGAATGTAAATGAAGTAAACTGACCAATCAAAATACAGAATGGCTGAATGCATTAAAAAAAAAACAAAAAAAGATGATCCCAATGATCTGTTGCCTACAAGAAACATACTTAACCTATAAAGAAACACATAGACTGACAATAAAAGGATGGAAAAGATATTCCATGCTAATGGAAACCCAAAAAGAGCAGGAGTAGTTACACTTATATCAAACAAAATAGATTTCAAAAGAAAAGCTATATAAAGAGACAAAGAAGGTCACTATATAAAGATAAAAGGGTCAATTCAGCAAGAGGATATAACAATTGTAAATATATATGCACTCAACACTGGAGCACCTAGATAAAAAGGAAATATTATTAGAGCTAAAGAGCGAGATAAGCCCCAATAGTAGCTGGAGACATCAGCACCCCACTTTTGTCATTGGACATTATCATCCAGACAGAAAATTAACAAAGAAACATTGGACTTGATCTGCACTATAGATCAAATGGACCTAATAGACATTTAGAGAACATTTCATGCAATGCTGCAGAATACACACTCTTCTCCTCAGCACATAGATCATTATTAAAAATAGACCATTTGTTAGCTCATGAAACAATTGTTAAAAATTCAAAACAACTGAAATTATATTATGTATTTTCTCTAACCACAATGGAATAAAACTAGAAATCAATAACAGAGGAATTTTGGAAACTATACAAGCACACAGAAATTAGATAATATGCTTCTAAATTACCAGTGAGTCAATGAGGATATTAAGAAGGAAATTGAAAATTTTTTTGAAACAAATGAAAATGGAAACATAGCATACCAAATCTTAAGGAATATGGTGAAAGTAGTACTAAGAAAAAGGTTATATTTATAAGTGTCTATATAAAAAATGTAGAAAAACTTCAGGTAAAAAAAACCCCTAATGATACATCTTAATGAACCAGAAAGTAACAGTCAACCAAATGTAAAGCTAGTACAAGAAAATAAATAATAAAGATCAGAGCAGAAATAAATGAAACTGAAATAAAAAATAGAAATGATCAGTAAAATGAAAAATTAGCATTTTGAAAAGATAAAATTGACAAACCTTTAGCCTGACAACTAAGAAAAAAAAAGCAAGATACCTAAATAAATAAAATCAGAGATGAAAAAGGAGATATAGCCAATACTGCAGAAATTCAATGGATCACTAGAGAATACCATGAGCAACTACATGTCAATAAATTGGATTATCTAAAATAAATTAATAAATTCCTAGACACATGCAACTTACTAAGACTGAATCGTGAAAAAAATCCAAAAGCAGAACAGACCAAAGTCACTAATGAGATCAAAGCCATAATAAGACGTCTCCCAGCACAGAAAATTCTTGGGACCCAATGGCTTCACTGCAAAATTTTACCAAACATTTAAAGAACTAATATAAATCCTACTCAAACTATCCCAAAAAATAGAAGAGGAAGGAATACTTCCAAACTTATTCTATGAGGTCAGTATTACACTGCTACTAAAACCAGAAGAACACACCTTAAAAAAAAGAAAACTATCAGGCAATATTTCTGATTAATACTGCTGAAAAATCCTCAACAAATTACTAGCAAACCAAATTTATCAACACATTAAAAAGATCATCATAATCAAGTAGGGTTTATGCCAGGGATGTAACGATGTTTCAACATACACGAGTGAATCAATGTGACACAACATATCAGCAGAATGAAGGACACAAACCATATGGTCACTTTAATTGACTCTGAAAAAGCATTTGATAAAATGCAATGTCCCTTCATAATTTAAAATAAAACCCTCAAAAAAACAGTGCAAGAAGGAGCATACCTCAACACAATAAAAGCAATATTCAACAGAATCACAGCCAGTATCATACTGAATGGGGAAAAACTAAAAGCCTTTTATTTAAGATTTGGAACACAACAAGTATGCCCACTTTTACCACTTTTATTTGATATAGTACTGGAAGTCCTAAGTTAAACAGTCAGACAAGAAAAATACACAAATTGCATCCAAATTGAAAAGGAAAAACTCAAATTATCCTTGTTTGCAGATGATATAATCTTATATTTGAAAAAATACTAAATACTACACAAAAACCTGTTAGAACTGTTAAACAAATTCAGTAAAGTTGCAAGATACAAAACCAACATACAGAAATTAGTAGCATTTCCATATGCCAATAGCTAAAAATCTAAAAAAGACATCAAGAAAGTAATCTCATTCACAATAGCTACCAATAAAATAAAATACTTAGGAATTAACTTAACCAAAGAAGTGAAAGATCTCTGCAATGAAAATTATAAAACATTGATGAAATAAATTTAAGAAGACATTTAAAAAATGGCAAGATATTCCATGTTCATGGGTTGGAAGAATCAATGTTGTTAAAAAACGTCCATATTACACAAAGCAATTTATAGATTCAATGCAATCTCTATCAAAATACCAATTTCTATTTCACAGAAATAGAAAAAAGAATCCTAAAATTTATATGGAACTACAAAAGTCTCAGCATAGCCAAAGATATCCTGAGCACCCCCATTATCCAATCACCTCCTACCAGGTCCCTCCCTGAACACATGGGGATTATAATTGAGATAACGATTCAAAATAAGATTTGAGTGGGAACACAAAGCCAAACCATATCATTTCACCCCTGGCCCCTCCCAAATCTCATGTCCTTCTCATATTTCAAAACACAATCATGCCTTCCCAACAGTCCCCCAAAGTCTTAACTCATTCCAGCATTAACCCAAAAGTCCAAGTCCAAAGTTTCATCTGAGACAAGGCAAGTCTCTCTCACCTATGAGTCTAAAAATAAAAAGCTATTTAGTTACTTCTAAGATACAATGGGGGTACAGGCATTTGGTGTATGTTCCCATTCCAATGGGAGAAATTGGCCAAAACAAAGGGGCCACAGGCTGCATGCAAGTTCAAAACCCAATGGGGTAGTCATTAAATCTTAAAGGTCTAAAATAATCTCCCTGACTCCATGTCTCACATCCAGGGCATGCTGATGCAAGGGATGGGCTCCCACAGCTCTGTGGCTTGAAGGGTACAGCCCCTGTGGCTGCTTTCATGCACTGGCATCGAGTGCCTGCAACTTTTCCAGGTGCTTGGTGCAAGCTGTTGGTGGATTTACCATTATGGGGTCTGGAGGATGGTGGCCCTCTTCTCACAGCTCCACCAGGGAGTTCCCCAGGAGGGACTCTGCATAGGGACTCTGACCTCACATTTCCCTTCCTCACTGCCCTAGCAGAGGTTCTCCAGGAGGACTCTGCCCCTGCAGCAGACTTCTGCCTAGACATCCAGGCATTTCCATACATCCTCTGAAATCTAGGTGGAGGTTCTCAAACCTCAACTCTTGCCTTCTGTGCACTCACAGGCCCAACATCACATGTAAGCCACAAAGGCTTGGGGCTTGCACCCTCTGAAGCCATGGCTTAAGCTGCCCCTTTTAGCCACAGTTGGAGCTGGAGCAGCGGGGATACAGGGCATCAAGTCCTGAGGCTGCAAGGAGCAGCAGGGCCCTGGGCTCAGCCCAGGAAACCATTTTTTACCATTAAGCCTCCAGGCCTCTGATGCTGTAAAGATCTCTGACATGCCCTGGAGACATTTTTCACATTGTCTTGGCTATTAACATTTGGCTCCTAGTTAGTTATGCAAATTTCAAATTTCCTGAATTTCTCCCCAGAAAAACGGGTTTTTATTTTTGACTGCATGGTCAGGCTGCAAATTTTCCAAACTTTTCTTTTCTGCTTTCCTTTTAAACTTAAGTTCAAATTTCAGATCATCTCTCTCAATTTTAAAGTTCCACAGATCTCTAGGGCAGAGACAAAATACTGCCAGTCTCTTTGCTAAAGCATAACAAGAATGACCTTTGCTCCAGTTCCCAATAAGTTCCTCATCTCCATCTGAGACCACCTCAGCCTGGACTTCATTGTCCCTATTACTATCAGCATTTTGGTCAAGACCATTCAACAAGTCCTTAGGGTTCCAAACTTTCCCTCATTTCCCTGTCTTCTGAGCCCTCCAAGATGTTCCAACCTCTGCCCGTTACCCAGTTCCAAAGTTTTTGCTTCCATATTTTTTGCTGTCTTTATAGCACCTAACTCTCAGTATCAATTTTCTGTATTAGTCTGTTTTCACACGCTATAAAGAACTGCCCGAGACTCGGCAACTTACAAAGGAAACAGGTTTAATTGACTCACAGTTCTGCATGGCTGGGGAAGCCTTAGGAAACTTACAATAATGGCAGAAGGCAAAGGGAAAGTAAGGCACATTTTACATGGTGGCACGCAAGAGAGAGAGGACAGAGAAAACTGCCAAACATTTTTCAAACATCAGATCATGTGAGAACTCACTCTATCACGAGAACAGCTTGAGACAAACTACCTCCGTGATCCAATACCTCCCACCAAGTTGTGCCCTCAACACGTGGGGATTACAATTCAGATTACAATTCAAGACGAAATTTGGGTAGGGACACGGAGCCAAACCATATCAGAGGGTGATTTTAGTTAGTGTGTAAAGGTAAGAGAAGAGATCCTTATCATCTCGGCATACAGCTTTAAAACAGTAGGACTTGGCAGAAGAAGAGATGCCAGTGGCCCAGAATAACACAGTAGATGTGGTACTTGTTAGCCACTTTCATCCTATCTATGCATTCTTCCCTTTCCCCCTTTTCCTTTATGCTAATATCTTAATATCATGGTGTTGCTTCTAGCTTCCTCTGATTTAAAGCATGGGGGTTTTGCAACTCCTACTGGGAAAGCCAGTGTTGTTACTTTAAAAAAAACCTACTAGATGTAATTTCATTTTAAGTTTCTTCTGTATTTCAATATAATTTAGCAAGGGAAGAGATTGAGTGATGGGCTCCGTATAACTCTAGAACAAGTAGTACCTGCTAGTTCATCTCTCGGATCAGGTTTATCTATTTCTGCCACCACTCTGAGAAGAGTGTGGTGAAGTCTTCGGCTCCTTTTCTGTTTGTGAGGGTTTAGGTTGTCGTCATTGGTTTCTTCCTTTTGCCTTCTTTAGGCTGAGAGGTTAATGAGTTATCTATTTTTTATAGTAAATCATCTGTCCTAGGTCACTCAGGAGGATTCCAGGGCCTGGGAGAGGGAATGCTGGATCATATTTCTAATCTCATGAGAATCCTCCATACTGTTTTCCATAATGGCTGTACCATCTTACAATCTCATCAACCATGCACAAGAGTTCCAATTTTTCTACATCCTTGTTAACATTTGTTAATTCTATTCTTTTGATAGTGGCCATCTTAGGTGATATTTTGTTGTGGATTTTGATTTGCATTCCTCTTATGGTTAGCGATGTTGACTATCTTTCCATATGCCTGTTGGCCATTTGTATATCTTCTTTGGAGAATTACCTATTCAAGTCCTTTGCTCATCAGATTATTTGTGTTGTTCTTGTTGAGGTTTTGAAGTTCCTTATACATTTTGGATATTAATCTTTTATCATCAGATATACGACTTCCAAATATTTTCTCCCATTTTGTTGGTTGGCTTTTCCTGTTGGTGATTGTTTCCTTTGTTGTGCAAATTTGGTAAAGTTTGATGTAGTCCCATTTGTCCGTTTTGCTTTTGTTACTTGTGCTTTTAGTGCCATATCCAAAGAAATCATTGACAAATCCAGTGTCCCAATATTTGCCCTATGCTTTCTGCTAGGAGTTTTATAGTTTTAGGTCTTACAATTAAGTATTTAATCTGTTTTGGGTTAATTTTTCTATATGATGTCAGAGTATTTTTTAAATTTTTTCATTGTAAAATCAAATGATATAGTAGATTACATGAAACAAATTTATAGTTAATGAATTATCATGATATGAAGACCCTTGTAAACCACCACCCTGGTTAAGAAATAGAACTTTGCCAGCCACCCATGTGCCCACCCTTGTGCTACAATCAAATCATAGTTACTCTGTTCTTCCATGTGTAACCCTATCCGTAATTTCGTGGTAGTAATTTTACTGCATTTCCATATAGTATTATCACCAACCTATGAATCATTAGAAACTCTAATTTATTCTTGCACATTTTAAAACATGGTATGTCTTTTAAATCTGTTTAATCTACAGGTACACTGTATTTCTAATTTATCTGTTGAAGGACATGAGCCATTTAAGGACATGAACCATTTGACCTGTAGCTTCCTAAAATCTGGATTTTGCTGATTGCATTTTTTTTTTGCAGTTTACCATGTTCCATTGTCTCTGTATTTTCTGTGAATTGCCAGTTGGAATCCAAAGGCTTGATCAGATTCAAATTTAATCACTTTGGCAAGAGTATACACAGTGGGGTTTTCTTTCCTTAGAAAGGATATAATTGTCACTTTTTGTTTATGTTAGAAACCATTGAGACTCAAAGTATAGATTTATTCACTGGAGATTGCAAAATATTTTAATTCTATTATTTTGTTTTTATACATTACCTGGATGATTTATACAAAATGGTTACCTTTATATATTATTTAGTTATCCAGTGGCACACATCTTATAAGAAAGGCAGGATAAATTGTCAATCATTTCCTTTTCTTTACCTACTTTTCAAGATAATGAATGGATTCCCTGCTATCTTCATAGTGCAACCAATTAATTTAAAATAATATGTTAGTATATACTCAAGGATTTCAGCCCCTTATATTGGTTAATTCCTTATTAAAGTAGTTCAAATTTTCCCATTTAGGGCCAATGGACACTCTTTTCAGTCATCTTGATATGAGCCTGGAAATCTTTGACCACTTCCTTGCTGTCTGGTATGTTGGTATTTTCCTGGCTCACATTATGTATTCCCAGCACAGGTCTGGGATTAGCTATTTATCCCCAAGTACCAAATTTCCATTTACTATCTGGCTTACTTTGATGAAAATGATGTTTCAAAGCTATTATCTGAGCACAAGTTCTTTTCAGTGAACACAAATAGGAATGTTATATAAATATTTAAAGTAATTCTTAACTTTACTCTTTTTTTTAGCTTAAATGCAGGAACAAGGTTTTTACCTGATCTCTTTTGTATCACATCTCTCTTTTTTTCACAAAAAGAATTTAAGAATATAGAGACTTAACAGACATACAATGAGAAAATTAAAAGAGCCACAATTTCGAATACTTTCAAGTTTGCTTTTTCTCACTTAAAAATTAAGCAGTCTCAGAACAACAATATGAATACTATCACCACTAATTTTGATTACAGAAAATAGTTAATTTTGTCTTTTACTATTTTCTTTTTCCCCTACTTAATCTAGTTGCACTTTGTCTACACTGTCAGATAAAAAATGCCCTTACATGCTATTCTCTCTCCTTTAACAATGATTCTCCTTTATAAATGTATTAAATAACAATATATTTAATGATGTCAATCAATACCTATGTTGATATCTCTTTATTAATTTTGGTTGTATGAAGGTTATTCTCTACTAGATTCCTTTTGAAACGGAAAAGGTTCCCTTTCCCCCTCACAGGGTGTGCGATGGGGGTGTGGCTTGCTTCTTCAGTGCCCCACTGCTCAAACCCCTAGGGGAGCATACAGACATGCAGGCTGTGGGGCTCTGACCCCATGGCAGTGTCTAGGAGAATGTCTACAGCTGAAGCTCCAGTGAACGTGTGTTACAGAATGCTCTTTTAATTTGCAGGCTATAGGCAGCTTGTATTAACCAGCTCAATTAGACCGTCTACCTTGTTGCAAGGACAGAGGACTTTCTGTATCCTGGGTTCTTGCCTTGGTGTACTGGAAGAATTGGATCATGAGTGCAGAGTTTTATTGAGTGGAAGTAGCTCTCAGTCAATGGGGGAGCCGGAAGGGAGATGGTTTTCCCCTGGAATTGGGCCACTCAGCAGCCCCGGCTCTGCTCCAACTGGCCCAGCCAAACTCTGCCTTTTTCCGCCAGTCAATGGCCTCCCATCCTGCCAGTGCCTGTCAGCATGCTCTTCCGCCAGCGTGCTCTCACCAACCTGCCAGTTGTGTCTTCTTCCGCCAATGTGTTCCTCTCAAACTCCAGCCGCTTCTGTCTGCCCTAGGGTCTTGAGGATTTTTATAGGCACAGGACTGGGGCATGGCAGGCCAGGGTGATCTTGGGAAATGCAACATTTGGGTGCAAAGGCGGAAGTGTCTGTTTTCATTTAGGTCCGTGGGGGTGGAGCCCTAGCCAGGGACTGTGCCCTCCTCTACTCAGCACTTCCCTTCCTCACTTCTGTATCATCTAAAGGGACCACACTCTTCCCTTCCCACCACTTTTGGATTACGTTGGAAGTGCTCCTGAGTACAATATTTACTGAGTTCTTATATGTTGAAAAATTGTGAATATTGAATTCTTACCTCACATTTACTTTTATTACATATATAGATACACTATATTTTCTTCTGGCATAAAGAATGGCTATTAAATTACAATGATAATCTAATTAGTTACCTTATAAGCCAAGTGATCTTTTTGTCTGGATACATATTTATTTCCCTTTTCTTTAGAGTACAGTAATTTTATAAGAATATGTCTTGGTGTTGACCATTCTGGTTCATATTCTCAGGTACATGGTGTGGTCTTCAATTATGTATTTCCAGGTCTTTTTTATTTTAGCAAAGTTTCTTGAATTGTAGTTAATATTTTTTTCTGCTGCCTTCTGTTTTTGTTTGTTAGTTTATTTTGTTTTTTCTTGAGGCAGGGTTTTGCTCTGTCATCCAGGCTGGAGTGCAGTGGCATGATCATGGCTCACTGCAGCCTCAACCTCCCGGGCTCAATCAATTCTCCCTCTTCAGCCTCCTGGGTGGCTGGGACTACAGGCATGTGGCACCATGCCTGGCTAATTTTTTTATGTTTTAGTGGAAACAGGGGTCTCACTATGTTGCCTAGGCTGGACTTGAACTCTTGGACTCAAGTGATCCTCCAGCCTCAGTCTCCCAAAGTGCTGGAATTACAGGTGTGACCACACCTGGCCAATTTTTTTTTTTTTTTAGTGACTGCTTTATCCATGAGGTGGCTCTTCTTTGCTTATCTTCAAAATTTGTCACTTTCTCTTGAATACCATTTATCTCTTCTTTTTTGATATTTAAAATTTTATTCCTTTTCATACTGCATTTTTTGTTGTGATTTGTTGTGTTTTTCTCCATTCCTTCTATTTCGGTTTTTATGTCTATGTTTTATTTTATAGTTACTTTGTATGAGATTTGACTTTGATACTTTTCGATTTGGATTTCATTTGGTTCTGAACTTGTAGAAGGAAACAGTTCAGACGTCTTCTCTGATATCAGAGTTCCCTCTTCGGTTTTTGGAAAGTGTTAAAATAAAAAAGTAGAGTGGCTTGCTTTCAGATGTTTTTCAATTCAGTAGCCTTTCCCCACTTTTATCTGGACCTCTGCTTATGGCCTCTTTGTTGTTCACGTCCTCCTCAGCTTGTATTTCACTCCCATCAATTTCTGCTCTGTGGGGTTCTATCCTTCATGGAAGCCAGGGCTGGGCAGATCCAGGCTTTATTGGAGCCAGATGGTTCCATTGTTTCAGACTGGGCCTCTTGAAGGCAGCTGCTATTGGAATGGACAAAACCCGTCCCAATTTACCTACTATTCTCAACTTGGCCTCCTGTGTTTTTCAGTGAATACTTGTTAACCAATTTTTGATAGCCTTGTTATTTGATCTGTCAGACAGCCTCTGCTTTCCTCTGTATTCTCCTGCCTAGATGTTGATAACACGCCAGTTTTATGCCTATTAATACACTTTGTTTCCATTCTTATGTTTTGAGATTTGTGGGAATACTTTGTCAACAAGTTTTGTTGTACACATTGTCAATTTCATTTTAGTTTTGATATGTAGTGCTCCATTTGTTTCTATGTAGATGTCAATAAGTCCTAAAAACTGCCTGCTACTTGTTACCTCCATTTTTCCAAAATTTCTAATCTTAACCTTTTAACTGAAAACTGTATTTCACAAAAATTACTAGTATAATTGTATTGATATAGATGGTTTTATTGTTTTTATATCTATATAAATGTTCTGTTTTCTAATTTTAAATTTATTTTCAACACTTAGCTGATTTATACAGTTCAAGAATCAAATTTATACAAAAAAGAAAACATGGAAAAGTGGTGGTCACATTCTTGTTACTCTTCACACTTTTTCCTGCACCCCCACAACTATATGTAACTTTTATTAATTTTATGACATTTGACCTTGCTATTTTTCTGTTGCTCATTTTCCCAGTATTTCTTTATAAGAAAATACAATTATATATTCTTGTTTTTCTTATTTATTTCTTATAAGTAAGCTATTATCTGCATAATTCTCCACATTTTATTTTTTACCTAATTATATACTCTGAAGAAATTTTTAAATAACTACCTAGCTTCCACTTTGTTTGAATATCTGCACAATATCCTATTGCGTGGAGGTGCTGTAGTTTCTTTAACCAGTCACCCATAGGTGGGCATTTGAGTTACTTATTACGTTTTTCTACTAAAAAGAATGTCACGAAGTAAAATTTAGTTATATATACATAATTTCATAATTTAGATTTGTATAACAAATTCTCGGAAATGTGTTGTTTGTATCAAAGTGGAATATATATTTACATTATTAGGTGTTACAATTGTCTTTCCTATGGTTTGACCATTTTGCACTACTGTATTAGTGCAAAACTAATGCTGCCTTTAGAATGAGTTGTCAATCTTTTTTATTTTTCACAATTAATTTGGAAAAAATTACATTTCACTGAAATATTATGAGCCTATTATACATGATATTAAACTTCTTTTAACATGTTTAAAGGCCATTTGTGTTTCCCTTTGCTTTGAATGTGCATTCATAAACCTCATTGATTTCCTGTTGCATTGTTGGTAGTATTATTCTTAATATACAGAACATCTATATATTAGGGAACTATCTGTTCTTCTGTAGTACACATTCCACACATTTTAAATGTTTTTACATTTGTCTTTTTCTTACTGGGAATTTTGCGTTTGGATGAACTCTTTAACTGAGGAGGTCAACAGACCTGAAGCTCTGGACCAGCAATCTCGGCTCATGTGATAGTGAGCAAAGAATTGCAAACTAACACCAAAATGCAAGCTCAAAGCAAAGTTTATTGAAGCACAGTAATACATTCTCAGAGGGAGAGCAGACTAATTTCTGCAAAGTGAAATTAGCCCCTCCTTACAAAACTCAACGGGCTTTCATGAGAGTTTTTTGGAGAGGAGTTGAGGTTTGGGCTATGTCAGTGACAGAATGATGTTATTTGATTAGCAGTTTATGGTTACATAGCTAAAATTAAACTGCATATGTTCTTACCCATAGTTTATTAGGAAAAACCCACTGGAGGGATAAAACCACATGTAAATTTTATTATAATTATGGTATAAAGAGCTTGGGGTGAACTTGAGGACACAGTTCCGTGCTACTGGGTATGCACCACTTTAGGGGATTTCCAACTCTTCCCTAGTTTCTCCTTCTCCAGGATGTGCTGGCCACAGACTTTACCAGTAACTCGATCCCTTAGGGTG
Organism: Homo sapiens; assembly: GCF_000001405.40. Taxonomy (NCBI): domain Eukaryota; kingdom Metazoa; phylum Chordata; class Mammalia; order Primates; family Hominidae; genus Homo; species Homo sapiens. The sequence goes on from NW_003315913.1 coordinate 146,249, forward strand.
GAGTTAGGGCAGTTCTGGGGCTGAACTTAGGTGGACCATAGGCTGCTGTCTTAGTGACAGCCTTTTTGTTCTCTTCTTTTACCGCCTCCTAGCTGTTAATGTCTATCTACCTAACATTTTAAATATATGTTGTATTAGTCCATTTTCCCACTGCTGTAAAAATACTACATGAGGCTGGGTAATTTAAAAAGGAAAGAGGTTTAGTTGACTCTCAGTTTCACATGGCTGGGGAGGCCTCAGGAAACTTACAATTGTGGTGGAAGGCAAAGGGGAAGGAAGGCATGTCTTACACGGTGGCAGGCAAGAGAGCATGAGAGTGAAGGAGGAACTGCCAAGCACTTCTAAAACCATCAGATCTTGTGAGAACTCACTCACTGTCATGAGAACAGCATGGGGGAAACCACCCTCATGATCCAATAACCTCCCACCAGGTCTCTCCCTCCACAGCTGAGGATTACAATTTAATAGGGGATTTGGGTGGGGACACAGAGCCAAACCATATCATATGTAGAACTTGCTTACTGTGAGTTTAAGGTTTTTTTTTATTTTCTTGTAAAATGTGTCAATCTTTTTAATAATCACTTCCAGGTCTTTAAATAACCGTTAAAACAAACTTCTCCTTTGTTATAACAGAGTTTACTCATATTTTTTCAAGTACTTGCCTGGCTTGCTTTTGGTTTGTTTATTTCTATTGTGATAAAATATACCTAATATTTATCATTTTAACCACTCATAAATGTTCAATTCAGAGACATTAAATACGTTTACAATGTTTTGCAACCATGACCACTATCTATACTCAAAACTTTTTTTTATCATTCCCAATAAAATTCTGTGCCCATTAATCAATAACTCACTTTCCCAACCTCTCCCCAGGCCCTGGTAACCTCGATTTTATGTTGTGTCTGTAAATTTATCTATTCTAGGTAGCTCAGTTAAGTGAAATTATGAAATATTTAACCTTCTGTGCCTAGCTTATCCACTAGGCATAATATTTCCAAGGTCCATGTTGTAGGAAAAGAATTTCATTCCTTTGTATGACTGAATATTGCAAATACATACTACTCTATTGCAAATATATGCCATTTATGTTTATGCATTCCTCAGTTGATGGACACTTGGATTGTTTCCAGCTCTGTGGCTGGCTTTTGTGGATAATGCTGCAATGGACATTTGAGGTTTCAAGGAATTTGTCCCTTGGTTCGAGGTTATCTAATTTTTAGGCCTACAGCTGTTTATTGTATTCTCTTATAATCCTTTTCATCTCTGTAAGACAAGTTAGTTTTGTCCCCACTCTCTCTTCTGGTTTTAGTTATTTGTGTATTCTTGTTTTTTGGATTTGTTGTTCCAACTAAAGGTTTGTCAATTTTGTTGGTTTTTTTCAGACATCCAACTTTTGGTTTCTCTGTTTTTCTCTATTTTTTTTATTCTTTCTTTTGTTTATTCACATTCTAATCTTTACTACTTGTTATTTCTGCTAGCTTTGAGCTTAATTTGCTTTTTTCTCCCCAGTTCCTTAAGGTATAAATTTAGGTTGCTGACTTGAGATTTTTCTCCTTTCTTTCTTTGTCTTTTTCTTTCTCTTTCTTTCTTTCCTTTCTTTCTTCTTTCTTCTTTCTTTTTTTTTTTTTTTTTTTTTTTGCATTTCCAGCTATAAATTTCCCTCTTAGCACTGCTTTGCTGCAACTCATAAGTTTTGGTGTGTTGTGGTTTTGTTTTCATTCATCTCTTTGTATTCTCTAATTTTCCTTATAATTTTTTTTTTCTCTGAACTATTGGTTGTTTAAAAGTGTGTTGTTTAGTCTGGGTGCAGTGGCTCATGCCTGTACTTTGAGAGGCCAAGAGGGAGGATTGCTTGAGACCAGGAGTTTGCAACCAGCCTGGACAATATAGGTATACTCTGCCTGTACAGAAAATTAAAACATTAATTGAGTGTAGTAGCACACACCTGTAGTCTTAGCTACTCAGGAGGTTGAGGCAGGAGGCTGAGGCAGGAGGATTGCTTGAGCCCAGAAGTTTGAGGCTGCAGTGAGCTATGATTGCACTACAGCACTCCAGGCTGGGCAATAAAGCAAGACCTTGTCTATAAAAAATAAATAATAAATAATAAATAGAAACAAAAGTTGTTTAATTTCTACATATTTGTGAATTTTCCAGTTTTCTTTTTGTTATTAAGTTCTAACTATACCATTCTGATCATAGGAAAATACTTTTTATGATAAGCTACTATATTTTAAAAAATCTATTAAGACCTATTATGTGGCCTAATATATAGTTTATCTTAGAGAATATCCCATGTGCACTTGAAGTAATGTATATTTTGCTGTTGTTGAGTGGAGTGTTCTATATATATGTCTGTTAGGTCTAGTCAGTTTATTGTGTAGTTAAAGTTCTCTATTCCTTCATGGATCTTCTATCTGGTTGTTTTATTCATTCTTGAAAGTGGTTAGGATTTCAACATATAACTTCTGGCGGGGGGCAAAAACATTCAATGTATAGCAACGTTTAAAAGAAATATTTGTATGTATGTGTCCTGCACATATCATTAAAAGAAGAAGATTCATACCCACTATGTAAGTTCAGTTTGGTGTTACTTATATTATAATTTGCATTTCTTTAGGAGGAGATAAAGATAAATTGATCAACCCTACCTGTTAGGGATCACAAAAAGCAACATAGAAGGAATTGAACAGAAAATTAAAAGGAAAAATGAATGTTTGACAAGGAGATGGGATCAGAGAAATTGAGTGGTTCATTCTAAGAGGAGACATGTGACAAGAGCTCTAGAAGCCTTATTGGTTTGTTGTTGTTGTTCTTATACAATCATTTCCAGCAATTGAGGTCAACCCAAATTATAGGGTAAAAGAAGAGACACTGTGAAGATGATCAGAAACATACACCATCCTATTGAGGAATTTGGATTTTATCTCAGAGGAAATGAAAAAAATACTACTTGCTATAAAAGTGTTTGAGATTGTCTGAACTTAATAGAACTAAGTTGTGGGAAGGGGCATCCAAGACTCCATAGATATTAGTCATATATTATGACACTGTGTGGTGAAAATTTGTGAAGCTTAAATAAGCACACTGTCCTGAACTGTTTGCATGGTGCCTCAGAACTTCACACACCAAAAGCCACAAATGGGCAAATCAAACATTATTTCTCTTTCTTCCACAATGTCTCTTTCTGTTCATTTATGTGTGTGCATGTGTGGTGTGTGTGAAGGCAGATGTCTTGCTATCTTTACCTTAACTCTATTCCTCCCTTAGTTTTTGCCATAACTGACCACTCCTAAAGTTACTTTCCAGATACCATTGCTGTTGGTGGATTTGAGAATTTCCCTTTCCTAGTATCTTTAGGCATTAATTAACCAATTAACTAGGCCATCCATTAATTTATTTTAAATGTTTATTAAGCACTGCTACATGCACAGCTTTGAGCACTTAGGGGTTGCAAGGATAAAAAAATTAGGGTGTCTTCCTTTAATAATCTTACTGTCTACTTAAAAAGGGAGGCACACAAATGAGTTAAATTTAAGTTTTATAATTGGGCTAAGATGATAAGTCTCATTTTATCCAGGACAGTTCCAATATATGCACATTATTATTAATAGTAGTGTCTCTTTTATTTAATAGTGTTCTTCTTTATTTATTTATTTTTTTAGCATGTAGCTTTTTTTCTTATTATACTTTAAGTTCTAGGGTACATGCGCACAACGTGCAGGTTTGTTACATATGTATACATGCGCCATGTTGGTGTGCTGCACCCATTAACTCGTCATTTACATTAGGTATATCTCCTAATGCTATCCCTCCCCCCTCCCCCCACTCCATGACAGGCCCCGGTATGTGATGTTCCCCTTCCTGTGTCCAAGTGTTCTTATTGTTCAATTCCCACCTATGAGTGAGAACATGCGGTGTTCGGTTTTCTGTCCTTGCAATAGTTTGCTGAGAATGATGGTTTCCAGCTTCATCCATGTCCCTACAAAGGACACGAAATCATCCTTTTTTATGGCTGCATAGTATTCCATGGTGTATATGTGCCATATTTTCTTAATCCAGTCTATCATTGATGGACATTTGGGTTGGTTCCAAGTCTTTGCTATTCTGAATGGTGTGCAATAAACATACATGTGCATGTGTCTTTATAGCAGCATGATTTATAATCCTTTGGGTATATACCCAGTAATGGGATGGCTGGGTCAAACGGTATTTCTAGTTCTTGATCCCTGAGGAATTGCCATACTGTATTCCACAATGGTTGAACTAGTTTACAGTCCCACCAACAGTGTAAAAGTGTTCCTATTTCTCCACATCCTCTCCAGCACCTGTTGTTTCCTGAGTTTTTAATGATCACCATTCTAGCTGGTGTGAGATGGTATCTCACTGTGGTTTTGATTTGCATTTCTCTGATGGCCAGTGATGATGAGCATTTTTTCATGTGTCTGTTGGCTGCATAAATGTCTTCTTTTGAGAAGTGTCTGTTCATATCCTTTGCCCACTTTTTGATGGGGTTGTTTGTTTTTTTCTGGTAAATTTGCTTGAGTTCATTGTAGATTCTGGCTATTAGCCCTTTGTCAGATGAGTAGATCACAAAAATTTTCTCCCATTCTGTAGGTTGCCTGTTCACTCTGATGGTAGCTTCTTTTGCTGTGCAGTAGCTCTTCAGTTTAATTAGATCCCATTCGTCAATTTTGGCTTTTGTTGCCATTGCTTTCGGTGTTTTAGACATGAAGTCCTTGCCCATGCCTATGTCCTGAATGATATTGCCTAGGTTTTCTTCTAGGGTTTTTATGGTTTTAGGTCTAACGTTTAAGTCTTTAATACATCTTGAATTAATATTTATACAAGGTATAAGGAAGGGATCCAGTTTCAGCTTTCTACATATGGCCAGCCAGTTTTCCCAGCACCATTTATTAAATAGGGAATCCTTTCCCCATTTCTTGTTTTTGTCAGGTTTGTCAAAGATCAGATGGTTGTAGATGTGTGGTATTATTTCTGAGGGCTCTGTTCTGTTCCATTGGTCCATATCTCTGTTTTGGTACCAGTACCATGCTGTTTTGGTTACTATAGCCTTGTAGTATAGTTTGAAGTCAGGTAGCATGATGCCTCCAGCTTTGTTCTTTTGGCTTAGGATTGTCTTGGCAATGCAGGCCCTTTTCTGGTTCCATAATGCTCCAATTAAAAGTCGCAAACTGGCAAATTGGATAAAGAGTCAAGACTCTTCAGTGTGCTGTATTCAGGAGACCCATCTCACGTGCAGAGACACACATATGCTCAAAATAAATGGATGGAGGAAGATCTACCAAGCAAATGGAAAACAGAAAAAGGCAGATGTTGCAATCCTAGTCTCTGATAAAACAGACTTTAAACCAACAAAGATCAAAAGAGACAAAGAAGGCCATTACATAATGGTAAAGGGATCAATTCAACAAGAACAGCTAACTATCCTAAATATATATGCACCTAATACAAGAGGACCCAGATTCATAAAGCAAGTCCTTAGAGACCTACAAAGAGACTTAGACTTCCACACAATAATAATGGGAGACTTGAACACCCTACCGTCAATATTAGACAGATCAACGAGACAGAAAGTTAACAAGGATATCCAGGAATTGAACTCAGCTCTGCACCAAGCAGACCTAATAGACATCTACAGAACTCTCCACCCCAAATCAATAGAATATACATTCTTCTCAGCACCACATCACACTTATTCCAAAATTGACCACATTGTTGGAAGTAAAGCACTCCTCAGCAAATGTAAAAGAACAAAAATTCTTTCTTTTTTTTAGGCAATCAAACTAGAACTCAGGATTAAGGAACTCACTGAAAACGGCTCAACTACATGGAAACTGAACAACCTGCTCCTGAATGACTACTGGGTACATAAAGAAATGAAGGCAGGAATAAAGATGTTCTTTGAAACCAATGAGAACAAAGACACAACATACCAGAATCTCTGGGACACATTTAAAGCAGTGTGTAGAGGGAAATTTATAGCACTAAATGCCCACAAGAGAAAGCAGAAAAGATCTAAAATTGAATCCCTAACATCACAATTAAAAGAACTAGAGAAGCAAGAGCAAACATATTCAAAAGCTAGAAGAAGGCAAGAAATAACTAAGATCAGAGCAGAACTGAAGGAGATAGAAACAGAAAAAGCCCTTCAAAAAAATCAACGAATCCAGGAGCTGTTTTTTTTAAAAGATCAACAAAATTGATAGACTGCTAGCAAGACTAATAAAGAAGAAAAGAGAGGAGAATCAAATAGATGCAATAGTGTTCTTCTTTTAAGTGATAGACTATATTAAGTTATAACTAAAGAATTCAGAGAAGCCTGAAATATAGGTGAATAAAAATAAATGTTTAAATAATTCAATTTTGATTGACTTTGGAGTTAATACTCATGCACTAAAGAGGTCCAATATATACCTTTAATGATACATATGATAGATATACTTATGACATTTACTTATGTCAGTATAATGATATATATACTTATATCATTAAAAGTATATATTGGACCTCTGATATGAGTGTATTCTATTACTAAAAATTACTTCCCATAAGTACCAATCCTGTACTTACTATTTACTATGTCCTGACACATCACAGAGAAAATCTCTAGTAGTCCTTGTATCTCTGAAAAATTTTCAGGTGATCAGCTGTAATGTGGCAGGGTCTCTCTCAGCCTGTCAGGTTGCAGCAGGCAAAGTCCAACATTTGTATTTTATGTTCTCTGCCACCCTAGGCTAAATTATTCATGTGAATTAGTCCTAAAGATTTACCACTGAAACACATGAACAAAGTCACTATATGTATTAGTCAGGGTTCTCTAAAGGAATAGAACCAACAGGAGATAGATAGATAGATAGATAGATAGATAGACACATCCACACACACACAAACACGGGTATATCTATATACCTATATATAGATATCGATCATACATTATATTTATATATCCATATCTATATATACATCTATATATCTATATACATCTATATATCTATATCTATATATCTATTATCTATTGTATTATATATAACATATGGATAGATACATATATTTATATATAGTTATAATATATAAATTTCTATATATAATTATATATACATATATAATATATAAAGATATATAAATTTATATGTTATATACACACATATTTATATATATTTATAATATATAAATTTATATATAATTTATTATATATACATATATAATATATAACTATACAATATATAAATTTATATATTGTATAGTTATAATATATAAATGTGTGTCTCTATCCATATATTAGCATGTATATATGCATATGTGTGTGTGTGTGTGTGTGTGTATATATATATAAAAAAGTGTAAATTGGCCCATGCAATTATCTAGGCAAAGAAGTCCCACAGTATGCTGTATATAAGGTGGAGAACCAGAACCAGGAAAGTTAATGTTCTATAAAACCAGTCTGAGTCTGAAGACCTGAGAACTGGGAGCAGGGAGGTGGTGTCTGGTGTGAGTTTCAGAGTCTAAGGGCATAGGAACTAGGAGCTCTGATATCCAAGGGCAGGAGAAGATGGATGTCTGTTGTGGTTTGTTAAGTGAAGAAGAATTTAAGTTAGGTTTGGTGTAGTCAGGTACAGCACAATTAGACTACAATTACTTGCAGATTCCAGAAAGAGGAGTGTAAAATGCCTTGCAGAGCCAATGGAAAGGGTGAGGCAGTCAAGGACACTGTCTCTCACCCAGCAGATGAAAAGCAAGTGAGAGATGGAGGGACCTATGGGTAGAACCCTTTATTGGGGTTCAGGATTACCTAGATGGGTTTTCCACAACAGAGTTGGATTGGTTAATTTGAAGGAAGCATGAGTTTAAGTGTGAGAACTTGGGTTACATGATTGTGTTCACCAGACTTAAAGCAAAAATAAGGCAGCAAATGGGACCACATCTATGTTGAAACAGAAACTGGGTGGAGACTGTCTCAAAATATGTAGGACATTTGTGACAAGCTGGGGACGGACCAAGAAGGTGGTGCTGAGGCAGCACTAATATGAATTAGCGTTACAACAATGTCCCAGCCCAAGAAGAGAGTGAATTTACCTTTCCTTCACATTTTTGTTCTGTTCAGTCCATCAATGGATTGGATTCTGCCCACCCACACTGGGGAAGGTGATTTTCTTCATTCACTCTACCAGTTCAAATGCTGATTTTTTCCAGAAACACTCTCAAAGACATACCTAGAAATACTTTTTTACAAGCTATTTACTGTTCACAAGCATCCCTTAGCTCAGTCAAATTGACACATAAAGTTCATCATCATACTATGTAATCCTCTAAGAAAACAGATAATTGCACTGAGCTTCCAGGCTTAGTCTATGGAAAAATTCTAGTTTGATGCTTAATAGAACTCGGACAAGTTGCCTCATTCCTTGTTTTTTAATCCAAAACTTGTTTCACCACAAGAAAGTTTTGTTAACATGTTTAATAATCCATGATAATGGCATTAGCCTGGATTTTGACTTAATATCAGCAAGCTAAAAAAAAAAAACCTGTTCTTAAAATATGTTGCAACCACCACCCAATCACAAAAATTTACTTCATGACTTATTCAGTGCTGTCATTTAGGTTCATTTAGGTTTCATTTAGGTTTAAGTCTCAATAATAAAGTTGTTTTGGGCTGATGATGGTATCACAGGGTGAAGAAACACTGTAAGAGTATTACATTGCATGATAATAATGCATGCACGCCCTCATGAATTATGAGATCTGTTCCAGTCTGTGTGCTTGCAAAACAAGTTACTACTGACACTGTAACATTTGAATTGAAAATTAGCTTCATGTTGTTAAGATGATCATATCACCTGAGAGAGTTCCCAAGTCTACAATTGCTCTACTAGTTACTATTCAGTGTTTGTGAAAAATTTTAATCTCAGTACTGTGAAGAAGCTGGAAAAAGGGATATTATGGGGCTAAAAGCTCTCTGTTTGGGGCTGCTTTGTGTTCTTTTTGTCTCTCATTTTTACACACCCATGCCAGACAACATTGAAGAAAGCTGGAAAATAATGGCCTTGGATGCCATCGCTAAAACTTGTACATTTACGGTAAGGTTAACATTTATTTTTTCTGTTGGAAATTGGGATGACTTATTGACTAAAAATGGGTGCTTATGAACTCTTTTATTAATAGTATTAATATCACCATTTTGAAAGAACCATTGCTTGTTTGAGTAAATTAATTAAACAACATTAAGTAAATAAAACTCCCTATATCTGTGAGTAACAGTGAGACAGAATTCTCAATTCTAAGACTTTATGTCTAAACGTGACATGTATAAAATAAATTTATTGTGACATGTATAAAATAAATGGTATTGCTAAAGGAAAAGGCTTTGAGGTTTATTTGAGAACTTGACTTAAATTTGAACTTTCAGGGACAACCTAGTCCTGTAATTATCTTTTAGTTGTTTAGATACACATTATTGATATTTGTAACTCTTTGATATTAATTTAAGGCTCTTATTATTTAATGGCTTTCATTGTCCATCTTCAATTCTAAATTGCTGGTTTTCAGGCATTATCTGACTTGGCATGTGCAGAATGAATTATAAATTCATGCAAAAATAGCTCCTTTAAAAGGGAGAGATAGGGTTAGAAACTAATATTTTTGAGTTCTTAAGTTGTATAGGCTTTGTATAATATGTACTTCCATTGATTCCCCGCTATCCTGCAATTATTTTTATCAGGTTATGGGGTTGGGGAAGAGATTGAGAAGAACATATGCAGGTAAAAAGTAACAACTCCATAATTTGAACTATAAACTGTCTCATTTTGAAACCCATACTCTTTCTGCCAAGCCAGACAGCTTCCAGAAAGGGTAACAATAAGAGGCTCAAAGGAGAAGGCCACAGAAGATGATCAGAAAAAAAGAGAGCAACCCATGGTATAAAAAGAAGAGGCTGTCTTATGATGCTTTGTACAGCAAACAGTATATTTGCTTTGTGAAACCACAGTCAACTCCTTCTGATGTCTGCTAATAGTTTCCCCTGTAATCACTTCTAGAGGCTTACCTTCTCCATAAATTTTCTCCAATGCTCTTACTTCTTGAGTAAGCATAAGTGGGTAAGCAAGTGTCACTTCCACAGAGAAAATACTATGCTCCCTTTCTTGATTATCTAATTTGTATCTCAGGGCATTAACTTGTTTAAACCCTACTACAACCCACTGAAGTATTATTATTACTGTCATATAGACAAGGAAATTGAGCTACAGAGAGTAATTTTCTCAATGTCTATCAGCTAGTAAGTAGTAGCATAAGATGCTGGTTTAAATGGATGCAGACTTGGCTTTGACATTTACTGGCTACAACTTAGAGTTTCTGCATACTTCCTCGTCTTTAAATTATAAGGGTTAGCATGGTGGCTCACGATTGTAATTTCAGTACTTTGGGAGGCCAAGGCAGGTAGATCACCTGAGGCTAGGAGTTCAGGACCTGCCTGGCCAACATGGGGAAACCCCATCTCTACTAAAAATACAAAAATTAGCCAGCTGTTGTGGTGCACGCCTGTAATCCCAGCTACTGGGGAGGCTGAGGCAGGAGAATCACTTGAATCCAGGAGGCGGAGGTTGCAGTGAGCTGAGATCGTGCCATTGCACTCTAGCCTGGATGACAGAGCAAGACTCCTTCTCAAAAAATAAAAAAATTAAATTAAAATTAAGAAAATAAAGTATAGTGGCTAGATGTTCTCAATTGCCCTGCAAATACCTTAATTTCCTTGGAATAATTATAATAATAAAGATTGTTTAATGTGTTATTAACCATGTAATATTTAAGTTTTTTTATGAGTAAACTGTCCAGTGACATAACACAAAAGTCCTCGAGAAGCTGGTCAGGAATACCAAAGGCAGCTTTTTTCAGTGACATCAAATATGGAATTTAAAGGTGAGGAAAGTGCCCTAATCTTTTTGGAGTTGAAAGCCAAAAAATTTGGATTATTACTAGTGTGTTCATATGAAGATATTTAAAACTTTGGATTAAATAAAATGAACAATGAAAAAAGAAAACATGACAGCATGCCTACAAAATTTATTTTTCTGAAAAAAATTTACAAATCAAAAATAATTACAGCGGCATAAAAAAACTGCTAGTAAATTAGTGGGTTTTGAATAGGACAGCTCTCAGTCTAAAATACTAAATATTTGAGATTTTCCTTTTTTATATACAAGGATTTATCTTTTTTTTTTTTTTTGTCTTTTACTTCAAGTTCTGGGATACATGTGCAGAACGTGCAGGTTTGTTGCATAGGTATACATGTGCCATGGTGGTTTGCTGCACCTATCAACTCGTCATCTAGGTTTTAAGCCCTGCATGCATTAAGTATTTGTCCTAAGGCTCTCACTCCCCTTTCCCCCTGCCTCCCGACAGGCCCTGGTGCATGATGTTCCCCTCCCTGTGTCCATGTGTTCTCATTGTTAGACTCCCATTTATGAGTGAGAACATGTGGTGTTTGGTTTTCTGTTCCTGTGTTAGTTTGCTGAGAATGATGGCTTCCAGCTCCATCTATGTACCTGCAAAGGACATGAACTCATTCCTTTTTATGGTTGTATAGTATTTCATGGCTTATATGTGCCATATTTTCTTTATCTATTCTATCATTGATGTGCATTTGGGTTGGTTCCAAGTCTTTGTTATTGTAAATAGTGCTGCAATAAACATATGTATGCATGTGTCATTACAGTAGAAATATTCATAATCCTTTGGGTATATACCCAGTAATGGGATTGCTGGGTCAAATGATATTTCTGATTAAAGATCATTGAGGAATTGCCACACTGTATTTCACAATGGTCGAACTAATTTACGCTCCCACCAACAGTGTAAAAGCCTTCCTATTTCTCTGCATCCATGGCAGCATCTGTTGTTTCCTGACTTTTTAATGATCGCCATTCTAAACACTTCTCTAGTTCTTTTAATTGCGATGTTCGAGTGTCAATTTCAGATCTATTCAGCTTTCTGATATGGCCATTTAGTGGTATAAATTTCCCTCTTAACACTGCTTTAGCTGTGTCCCAGAGATTCTGCTATGTTGTCTCTTCATTCTCATTGGTTTGAAAGAACTTCGTTATTTCTGCCTTAATTTAGTTATTTACCCAGTAGTCATTCAGGAGCAAGTTGTTCAACTTCCATGTAGTTCTGAGATTTTGAGTGAGTTTCTTAATCCTGAGTTCTAATTTGATTGTGCTGTGGTCCGAGAGACTTTTTTTTTTTAATTTTCATTCTTTTGTATTTTCTGAGGAGTGTTTTTTCTTCCAATTATGTGGTCAATGTTAGAATAAGTGCTATATGGTGCTGAGAAGAATGTATATTCTGTTGATTTGTGGTGGAGAGTTCTGTAGATGACTATTAGGTCCCCTTGGTCCAGAGCTGAGTGCAAGTCCTGAGTATCCTTGTTAATTTTCTGTCTCGTTGATCTGTCTAATATTGACAGTGGGTGTTAAGGTCTCCCACTAGTAGTTTGTGGGAGTCTAAGTCTCTTTGAAGGTCTCTAAGAACTTGTTTTATGAAACCTGGTGCTCCCGTATTGGATGCATATATATTTAGGATAGTTAGCTCTTCTTGTTGCCTTGGTACCTTTACCATTGTGTAATGTCCTTCTTTGTCTTTGATCTTTGTTGGTATAAAGTCTGTTTTATCAGAGACTAGATTTGCAACCCTTGCTTTTTTTTTCCATTTGCTTGGTGAATCTTCCTCAATCCCTTTATTTTGAGCCTATGTGTGTCTTTCAATGTGAGATGGGTCTCCTGAATACAGCACACTGATGAGTCTTGACTTCTTATCCAATTTGCTAGCCTGTGTCTTTTAATAGGGGCATTAACCCATTTACATTTAAAGTAAACATTGTTATGTATGAATTTGATCCTGTCATCATGATGCTAGCTAGTTATTTTGCACAATAGTCAATGCAGTTTCTTCAGAGTGTCATTGGTCTTTATATTTTGGTGTGTTTTTTCAGTGGCTGGTACCAGTTTTTCTTTTCCATATTTATTTCCTTTCCATGTTTCTTTCCATATTTATTTCCTTTCCATGTTTTCTCCTTATTTCCTTTTGTAAGGCAGGCCTGGTGGTGACAAAATCCCTCAGCATTTGCATGTCTGGAAAAGATTTCATTTCTCCTTTGCTTACGAAGCTTAGTTTGGCTGGATACGAAATTCTGGGTTGAAAATTCTTTTCTTTAAGAATGTTGAATATTTGTCCCCACTCTCTTCTGGCTTGTAGAGTTTCTGCAGAGAAATCCAGTGTTAGTCTGATGGGTCTCCCTTTGTAGGTAACCTGACCTGTCTCTCCAGCTGCCTTTACATTTTTCCTTTGTTTTAACCTTGGAGAATCTGATGATTATGTGTCATGGGGTTGCTCTTCTCAAGGAGTATCTTAGTGGTGTTCTCTGTATTTCCTGAATTTGAATGTTGGCCTGTCTTGCTATGTTGGAGAAGTTCTCCTGGATAATATCCTGAGGTGTGTTTTCCAGCTTGATTCCATTCTCCTTGTCACTTTCAGGTACACCAATCTAACGTAGGTTTGGTCTTTTCACATAGTTCCATATTTCTTGGAGGCTTTGTTTGTTTCTTTTCTTTCTGTTTTTCTCTAATCTTATCTTCACACCTTATTTCATTAAGTTGATCTTCAATCCCTGATATCCTTTCTTCCACTCGATTGATTGAGCTATTGATACTTGTATATGCCTCACGAAGTTCTTGTGCTGTGTTTTTCAGCTCCATCTGGTCATTTATGTTCTTCTCTAAACTGGTTATTTTAGTTAGCAGTTCCTGTAACCTTTTATCAAGGTTCTTAGCTTCCTTGCATTGGGGTAGAACATGCTCCTTTAGCTCAGAGGAGCTTGTTATTACCCATCTTCTGAGTCCTACTTCTGTCAATTCGTCAATCTCATTCTCCATCCAGGTTTGTGCCCTTGCTGGAGAGGAGTTGCAATCATTTGGAGAAGAGTCATTCTGGTCTTTGGAATTTTCAGCATTTCTGGGCTGGTTTTTCCTCATTTTCATGGATTTATCTACCTTTGATCTTTGAGGCTGATAACCTTTGGATGGAGTTTTTGTGTGGGGGTCCTTTTTGTTGATGTTGATGTGGTTGCTTTTTGTTTGTTAGTTTTTCTTCTAACAGTTAGGCTCCTCTTCTGCAGGTCTGTTGCAGTTTGCTGGAGGTCCACTCCAGACCCTGTTTGCCTGGGTATCACCAGTGGAGGCTGCAGAACAGCAAAGATTGCTGCTTGCTCCTTCCTCTGGAAGCTTCATCCCAGAGGGGCACCAGCTTGATGCCAGCCAGAGCTCTCCTGTATGAGGTGTCTGTTGACCCTTGCTGGGAGATGTCTCCCTGTCAGGAGGCACAGGGGTCAGCGAACCATTTGAGGAGACAGTCTGTCCCTTAGCAGAGCTCAAGCACTGTGCTGGGAGAATTCTCCTTCTCAGGATCAGCTGCTCTCTTCAGAGCCAGCAGGCAGGAAAGTTTAGGTCCGCTGAAGCTGCACCCACAGCTTCCCCTTCCCCCAGGTGCTCTGTCTCAGGAAGATGGGAGTTTTATCTGTAAGCCTCTGACTAGGGCTGCTGCCTTTCTTTCAGAGATGCCCTGTCAAGTGAGGAGGAATCTAGAGAGGCAGTCTGGCCACAGCCACTTTGCTACATGGTGCTGAATTCCAACCAGTCCAAACCTCCCGGCCTCCTTAGCACTGTCAGGGGAAAACCACCTACTCAAGCCTCAGTAATGATAGACCCCTCTCCCCCCACCAAGCTAGATCATCCCAGGTTGACTTCAGACTGCTGTGCTGGCAGTGAGGATTTCAAGGCAGTGGATCTTAGCTTGCTGGGATCCTCGGGAGTGGAACCCTCTGATCAAAACCTCTTGGCTCCCTGACTTCAGCCCCCTTTCCAGGGGAGTGAACGGTTCTGTCTCACTGGAGTTCCAAGCACCACTGGGGTACAAAAGAAACTCCTGCAGCTAGCTCCATGTCTGCCCAAACAGCCATCCAGTTTTGTGCTTGAAACCCAGGGCCCTGCTGTAGGCACATGAGAGCATCTCCTGATCTGCAGATTGCAAAAACCATGGAAAAGCGTAGTATATGGGCTGGGTAGCACAGTCCCTCAACGGCTTCCCTTGGGTGGGGGAGGGAGGTCCCCTGGCTCCTTGCACTTCCTGGGTGAAGCAATGCCCCACCCTGCTTCTGTTCGCCCTCTGTGGGCTGCACCCACTGCCTAACAATCCCAATGAGGTGAACTGGGTACCTCAGTTGGAAATGCAGAAATCACCTGCCTTCTGCATTGCCCTCACTGGGAGCTGCAGACCGGAGCTGTTCCTATTCGGCCAGCTTGCCAGATATTTGAGATTTTCAAGGGCAAGAAGGTTATGCAATAAGATCTTTACAGTATTATTTGGAAATAATATTTTTAAATAGTCTATTTCTTTTTGTTTACCTTGCTTATTTTTTCTTCCTTTTTAACTTTCTTTTTAAATATATTTGGTGTTATTTAAATATCTAAATATTTAATTTTGTTTGTTTTGTTCTTACAGGCTATGTGTTTTGAAAATATGCGTATTATGAGATATGAAGAGTTTATATCCATGATATTCAGGCTGGATTATACCCAACCACTTTCAGATGAATACATCACAGTGACTGATACAACATTTGTTGACATTCCAGTACGATTGTACTTGCCAAAAAGAAAGTCAGAAACCCGAAGGCGAGCTGTGATATATTTTCATGGTGGTGGTTTTTGTTTTGGAAGTTCCAGTAAGTTCATTGTATAAGGAAAAAGTGTAGCTAGCTCTACATTTTTGATATAAGAACTATTTTATATAAATATACACACTTATACTGATACATACATCTATATATATACTTGTCTGGATATGGATAAGTATAGATATAAATATGAGACATCTAATAAAGAGACATAGACATATGTTTGGCAACTAATATTATGGGGATTTTAAATTCAGTTTTTGTTTTGTTTTTTTATTATCCTTAGCTTTCATATTGAATGAACATATATCAAAGGAAAATAGGATATAAAGTCAGTTATTAAACTTTTTTCTTGGGATCTGAATTCAGGAGCAGAAACATTGAGGGGATGCAGATGTTTTAATTAACAAGTCAAAAGCATTTGCTATTGGTTGCTACAAGATCAAGTTTGCAGTTACTGATAACATAATAGAAATACTGGTAAGGCTTAGAATGCAGTTGTTAGTATTGACTCTAAAAAGAAAACACAAAATAGTACTATGTAATAATAAACTCTTCCCATAAAATCTCGGTTCCCTACTTGTCTTTTTAGGCATTTTTCTTACAGTGATTATTCAATAAATGTTTTTGTGAAGAAAAAAGACACACACATAGTGAATGAGAGGGACATCTGATGATCTCTAGAGGGATTATTATCCAAAATGTTCTAATCCATTTCTTTTATGTATTTTTTACCTTCTTAATGTTTTCAATACATTGGATTTCATCTATATTTCATCTATAATTTAATTTATATCATGTGTTAAAATGGTCGAATAACCTGCTTTCTTGATAAGATAAATACCAAGTTTGCCTCATTTCTCTCCAAAGAAATGCATTCATTCCACTGAAGTTTTTACGAGGTGTATGAAATATCCAAGTGTTCATATACATATTACCTAGGACTTGAGTAAGCACAAAAGAAATGGCCACTGACAGGAAAATATCACTTTGATTGAAAAATACTAAGAAGTATTCCTGATTATTAGGGTTATATCTCTTTTTACTGACATAGGCAATGATTGTGATCAGTAATTTCTAAAACTGTGAGAATTATTATTCAGGATATGACATTCCAACATTCTGCTTAGCTAAATTCTAGATGTCTTTTGTCAATATTTTGGTTTTATATTTACACATTATTTGTTTTCAGATCTCCCAAACATATGTGAATACACTGGAAAAGACTTAGATACTTTCTAATTTTCACCAAGAAAAAATAGACATTATAACTATTTTCTAGTATTTGCAAATTTTAATTTTCTTTCTTTTCCCCCTAGGCTTCCTCTTTTGTCTTCTCTAAAACATACATAAGTTGCTTTGAGAACCAAGAAATATAGGAAAATGTTGCTCTAGTAGACTTTTTATATACTTTTGTGATCTTTGTTTTTCAACATTTATCCTCATATCTTTTTGTTTTTCAACATTTATCCTCATATCTTTTTGTTTCTATACGCATTCTACAGACACTATAACAATAAAAAGGCATGGAATAAAAGAAACAAGACCAGAGAGATTATATCAGCAAATATTCTATGAGTACAGACAGTTTGAGATAAAAATGGGAAACAAACAAGCAAACAAAAATATGGCTTTAATTCTAAGACAAAAAGGATTGGGAGATAAAAATGAAGACATAGATTTGAAATACATCACTGAGTGGCTTTAAAGGTTATGAAATGAAACTGGAAATAAGACCTCAAGGTCTCTGGATGAAACGGATTTCTTGTGGCTGATAAAGAAACCCAAATTATGACACTAAGAGCTCAGTGTCCATAATGAGTGAGAAAAGGGTGGTCACACATCACTTTGTTCCCAGAGAAGGCAGCTCCAAACATCCTGTTTGCGCCCCTGAGCTAAGATGTTTCCAAGCTGAAACACCCTGATTAGAAAACTCATCCCACCAGTTGCTTGAAAGCGGTATCTAACAGACTTTTGGTTTGGGGCTTGGAAACTACCCAATCAGGAATCAGCTGTTTTAAACTATTTGAATAAGTTTGAATCCTTTATTTACATATATATACCTGATTGTGATTGAGGGATGCCAGCTGATTCTCCATATTTAAGCCACAGACCCTCTTTTTGGTCTCTGGAGCACACTTTTGTTTTACATGGAAGGCTATGTCTCCCTAATCTGCAGATTTTTTTTTTAATAGAAATTAAAGCTCTCCCATTTTCTTCTGAAGATCTCATGCTCTTTCGTTAACAAGGTGAAGTTCAGAGAGTTCTTAGGTCTTGTACATTTTGGTCTTCATCTATGCATGGCCTTTTCTTGAAAATTAACTTAATCTTTAATAAAACATTATTTTTTTCTATTTAAAAGACTAGGTGACTTACTTTCCTGTTTTCCAGGTTATATATACACCCTGTGGTTAGTTTTCACTTTGCAGTTTTGTTAATGTGCAAGAGAAGGTCCAGAGAAGTCTGGAATTTGATCACAACTCTAGAATTCTTTGGATTTCTAGGATCTTGTGGTAAATAAAGCAGCAGCAGATGTTACAGAATTTGCCAAGGTGCTTGGCCAGGGCCCTGGTAAATAGGATATGTGGGGACCTGGGGAAAGATGTGTGTGTGTGTGTTATGTGTCTGGGGAAAGTCAATAGCTTGTACATCAAGCATGTCAAAACTCATATGTATATCAAGTCTTCACACTGACCTGCCAGAGGCTCTCTCATATCTAGTTATTATTCCTTAGACTCTGTCTTAATGCCAATGTTATTGGACTATTTTATTATGTGGCATCTTCAAAGAAGACAAGAGGTTTTGAAGAACGATGTTTAGAGACTCAATACATACTATTACTTTCTTTTTCCTCCGACTTCTGAACCAGTTAAAAAATTACACCCAGAGTTCACATAAATGCAAGTCAAACCATTACCATTATTTCAGATGAAGTAAAATGCACCAGGATACAAAGGGTCCTGGGAAGGGTCATTGTGTACAGACAGCAGATGTCAAGACGATATTACAATAGGCTGAGCCTATTCTAGTTGATCCTCCCCAAAATAATCAATTGGTGAAGTCATCCTTTTCCTCCTGGAAAGAGTGGCTGAAAAGACTAGGAAGGGGAGAGTGTGCCACGTGGATTCAGGTCCATCTGCTTGGAAATGGGGGGTGGAAATAAAAGCTATGTGATATTCACAAACCACAGTTATTTCCACATTCATATCTGTAACTGTTTCTATAGCTTTTTAATTACAGGAAATACTTTGATGTTTATTTCTTCATTTCAGAACAGAGGGCTTTTGACTTCCTGAATAGATGGACGGCAAACACGCTTGATGCTGTTGTTGTAGGCGTGGAGTAAGAATGATTTTTTTCTGGCTACTATGATTTTTGCCTTTACCATGTAGAGGTTTGATTTCCACATCAAGTCAGCTATGCTTCAAATATAATTTTTTAAATTAATATATTTTACTTGTCACCATTGCAACATAGACTGCTCCTCAAAGAGGTTCAGTGTCCCATTATTTTTCTGTGATTGTGAGAATATCTGAATTATACCCCAGAGTAAGCAGTTTTGGAAACACTTGCTCTAGACACGTAAGACTCAGGTCCTATAAGGCCCTAGTAGTGTCCCAAGTAACACAGCTGGACAGAAGGAAGTATATTAACTATTACACATTTGGGATACTGGATTGTATTTGAGCAGGCAAGAAAAGTTTAATTTCATAGCTTTTGAAGTAATCTAAATACTATTTTATATCTGTTTTGATATAATAATATGTTTGTGCCTGGCTTATACATTCTATCAAATCCCTAAAATTTGTGTTGTTCTTTGTCCAAAAAGTATAAATCCACTGCATTTTAAATAAAGATACCAACATCTTTTTGGTACACATCTATGTCTAAGCTACAAATTACTTAGAGTTTTCTAGATAGTTTATAATAAAATTCTAAGAACCCTATTACCAACATTTCATATTGGCTATAGAAATATACATGTTTTAGCATTCTGAAGATCAAAAAGAAAAAGCTCTATGAATTGACTGCTAGATGTATTTTCCTGTCTTACTGTTCTACACACACTGGGGAAAAAATAATTTGTGCCCATGAAAAGAAGAGTGTGATAATTTGCCTTACAAATGAATTTACCAGAAATAAGCAAGCTCTCTGGCATATTTAAATTTTATTTATATATCAAAATTTTTATCTAGTAATAACTACTGGGTATTATCCATGATGAAGTATATGCACCGTCAGCTTATAAAATTTTTACCTAAATGTCCTTGATAAAATAGGACACTGCCTACAATATGCTCTCAGATCTGCAGCCTATTGTGCTTTTTAAACAAGCATTTTTAAAAAAATGTTTGGATTACAAGTTACATTGAGAATATGATGTAAGCTATACACCATCTCCATTCTAAAATACACTTGGACTAAAATTTTTGCTTACAATTCCTAGGAAGTTCATAACACTCCCCTGACTCCTCACAAATAATTCCATTCATGGATTTTAGGTACAAGATTGAAAACCTTATACTTTATTAAAATAATTTTCATTTTAATCAAGAGTTAGTAGAAAACTTAGGCTTGATTTTTAGAAGACTGAACAATAAAGACTGGCATTAAATTGCATCTATTTGGTATTTGAGAATTAGATGGACAGATACAACCATAAATGCTTTATTATTCTTTCTTTAAAGCTATAGGCTGGCTCCTCAACACCACTTTCCTGCTCAGTTTGAAGATGGCCTTGCTGCAGTCAAATTTTTTCTTTTGGAAAAAATTCTTACAAAATATGGAGTGGATCCCACCCGAATCTGCATTGCGGGAGACAGTTCTGGGGGCAATTTAGCAACAGCGGTCACTCAACAGGTACATTATATTTGTTTTTATGATAGGAGGCAGAAATTGAGGCTCATTTTTTTTCTATAGATAATTCAGTTCTTCCCCCACCATTTGTTGAAAAGACCATTCTTTCCCATTGAATTACAGTAGCACTTGAGTAAACATTTATTTAACCTTAATGTGACTATTTCTGGATTATTTTGTTCCATTGATCTACATGTCTATCCTACTGCCAATACTACACTGACTTCAACTGTTCTTCTTTAAAAAAAAATCTAGTATTCCATATCTTTCCCATTAAAATATTAGATTATCTTATCAATTTTTAAAAAGAAAGACTAACTGAATTTTTATTAGGATTGCATTGAATCTATAACTTTGGGGAGGATTGACGTGTCAACAATATTGAGATTTCCAATTAATGTACATGGCATGTCTCATACTTTATTAGATCCTCTTCAATTTCTCAGCAATATTTTACTATTTTCAGTGTAGAAATCATGGAAATCTTTTCTCAAATTTTACCCTGAGGTATTTTTTAAAATTTTTATTAAAATACTATTTTCTGAATGTTTATTTGGAACATATTGGAATTTGTAATTTGTAATTTATTTCTATGCTATATAGAAATACAATTGATTTTGATATTGGCCTTTTCCCATCATATCCTCAATAAACTCACTTATAACGCTAGTGTTCTGTGTTTTTTTTGTTTTTTTTTTTTTTAGTTTCCTAGGATTTTCTATATTTTCAATGACGAGAGACAGTTTTAGTTCTTGCTTCCCAGTACTTGTTCCTTTTAATTTTTCTTTTATTATTGCACTGTCTGGGGCCTCTAGTAAAATATTTAATATAACTCTCTTGCTTTGTATTTTTGGAGGAAATTTTTCAATATTTCATCAATAAATATAGTATTAACTGAAGGTTTTCATAGTTAGCTTTTGTCAGATTGAGGAACTTATTTCTACTCCTAGTTTGCTGATAGTTTTTGCATAAATGGGTCTTGAATTAGTCAAATGTTTTTACTCCAACTATTGAGATGATCATGTAATTTTTCTTATTTATTATTTTAGTGTGGTAAATTATGCCAATTGACTTTTAAATGTTAAATTATGCTTACATTCTAGGCATGAGCCTTACTTGGTCTTGATGAATTAAAATTTTTATATGTTGCTGCTTTCCATTTGCTTTAGTTCATTAAATGTTTTGTATTTTTGAGATTAATCTTTAATTTTTAACACTTTTTGTCAGGTTTTTTTTTTTTCTTTGAGATGGAGTTTTGCTCCATCACCCAAGCTGGAGTGCAGTGGCGCGATCTCAGCTCACTGCAACCTCTGCCACCTGTCTTTGTCAGGTTTTGAGAGAAAAATTACACTAGCCTCATTAAATAATTTGGGAAGAATTCCAACTCTCTTATTTTCTGTTTTTTTCTCTTTTGTGAGGTTGTATTGAGGTACAGTTGAAAAGGAAAAATCATATGTATTTAAGATGTACAACATGATGTTTTGATATATGTATGCATTTTTAAACAATTAACAAAAGCTAAGTAACGTAATCATTACCTCACATAGTTACCATTTATTTTTTCTCTATGGTGAGCATGTTTAAGATCTGTCTTAGCAAATTTCGAGTACGCAGTATTATTAACTATAGTCACCGCACTTAATATTAGATCTCCAGAACTTATTCATCCTGCATAACTGAAACTTTGTAACCTTTCACCAATATCTCCCTGTTCTCCCCATCTCCATCCCCTTTCATCTATATCCCCAGCTCCTCATAACCACCACTCTACTATCCACTTCTAGGGGTTTAACTTTCTTAGGTTCTACATAAAAGCAAGATTATGCAATATTTGTCTGACTTATTTCATTCAGTGTAAGGACCTCCAGGTTCATCAATGTTGTCACCAATGACAGGATTTTCTTCTTTCTGGAGGCTGAATAATATTCCATTGTGTGTGTTTGTGTGTGTGTGTGTGTGTGTAGATACACACACACACACACCAAATTTTCTTTATCCATTTATCCGGCTGACAAACAGTTTGATTCCATATCTTGGCTATTGTGAATACTGCTTCAATGAATATGCGAGTACAGATATCTCTTCACATTACTGACTTTGTTTCCTTTGGATAGATACCTAGAAGTGGTATTGCTGAATCATCTGGTAGTTCCATTTTTAATTTTTTGAGGAAACTCCATACTGTTTTCCATAATGGATATACTAACTGACATTTCCAACAACAATGTACAAGGGGTCCTTGTACATATGTCTACTCAGTTCTATTTCCCATTTTTTAAATTGGGTTATTTGTTTTCTTGCCATTTAGTTGAATTCTTTATACATTTTGAATATTAACCCCTTATTGAACCCATGATTTGAAATATTTTCTCCTACTTTGTAGAGTGTCTCTTCACTCTGTTGATTGTTTCTTTTTTCGTGCAGATGCTTTTTAGTTTGAGGCAATCCCATATATCTATTTTTGCTTTTGTTGCCTGTACTTTTGGAGTCATACCTCCCAAATTAGTGCTTAGACTAATATAAAGTCATTTTTCTCTAAGCCTTCTTCCAGTAGCTATACAGTTTTATATTAAGTGTTAGACCTTTGATTCATCATTTTGAGTTGATTTTTGTATATGAAATGAAATGAGTGTCCAATTTCATTCTTCTGCATGTGGATATATGAGAATTCTCAACATTATTTATTGAAAAGACTGTCTTTTCCTTTTGTGTGTTCTTGGCACCTTTGTCAAAGATCAATTGACCATTGCTATAGCTTGGTCTTTCCCAGTCAAAGCTCATGTTGAAATTTGATCCCCAATGTGGCAGCATTGAAAGACTGAGCCTAGTGAGAGGTGTTTGGGACAGGAGGGTGGATCCTTCGTGAATAGATTAATGCCCTTCAGAGGGAATGAATGAGTGAATTCTTGCTCTCCAGGGAATGAAATAGTTTGTCAGAGAGCAGATTATTAAAAACAATCTGGCTTCCTTGGTTTCTCTCTCTTGCTTCCTTTCTTGCCATGTGATTTCTTTGCACATGCAGATACCCGGTTCTCTTTCATGAGTTAAAGCAGCCAGAGGCCATTATCAGATGCAGATACCCAATCTTGAAACTTTCAGCCACTAGAATTGTGAGATAAAAATTTTTTAATAAATTACCCAGTCTCAGGCATTCTATTGTAGTAGTGCTAACTGAACTAAGACAACAATTTATTTCTTAGCTCTTTATTCTGTTCCATTGGTCTATATGTTTGTTTATATGCCAGTACCATACTGTTTTGATTATTGTAGCTTTGCAGTTTATTTTGAAATCAGGCATTATGATGCCTCCAGGTTTGTTCTTTTTACTCAAGATTATATTGACTATTCAGTCTTTTGTGGTTCCATATTAATTTTCTATTTCTGTAAAAAATACCATTGAAATTTTGATTGGAATTGCATTGAATCTGTACATTGCTTTGTGTAGTATAGACATTTTAACAGTATTAATTCTTTGGATCCAGAAACATGGTTAATCTTTTCATTTACTTGTGTCTTCTTCTATTTCTTTCATTAATATTTTATAGCTTTCTGTGTATAGATCTTTCTACCTCCTTGGTTAAATTTATTCCTGGTGTTTTTTATGTACTTATTTTTGATGCTATTGAAATGGGATTTTTTAAAATTTCTTTTTAAGATAGTTTGTTGTTGGTATATAGAAATGCAAGTGATTTTTCTATGTTGATTTTGTATCCTGCAACTTTACTGAATTTATTTACTTGTACTAACAGATTTTTGGTAGAGTCTTAGGGTTTTCTGTATCTAATATCATGTAATATGAAAATAGACTTTTTTTTTGGTTTTTGAAACAGAGTCTCCCTCTGTTGCCCAGGCTGGAGTGCAGTGGCATGATCTCTGCTCACTGCACGCTCTGCCTCCCGGGTTCATGCCATTCTCCTGCCTCAGCCTCCCGAGTAGCTGGGACTACAGGCACCCGCCATCATGCCTGGCTAATTTTTGTATTTTTAGTAGAGACAAGGTTTCACCATGTTAACCAGGATGGTCTCGATCTCCTGACCTTGTGATCTGCCAGCCTCAGCCTCCCAAAGTGCTGGAATTACAGGCGTGAGCCACTGCACCCGGCCCAGACTTTTTTTACTTCTTTCTCATTTGGATGCTTTTTATTTCTGTTTTTGTTTGTTTTTTTGTTTTCTTAATTTCTCTGACTAGGTCTTCTAGTATTTTATTAAATAGGTATAGTGAGAATGGGTATCTTTGTCTTGTTCCTGATGTCAGAGGAAAAGCTTTCAGCTTTTTATCACTGAGTATGATGTTAGCCTTGAGCTTGTCTATATGGCCTTTATTATGTTGAGGTACTTTACATATAATTTGTTGAGAGTTTGTATAATGAAAAGATATTGCATTTTGTCAAGTCATTTTTGCATCTGTTGAGATGTTCATGTAAGTTTTATTCTTCATTCTCTTACTATGGCATATCACCTTGATAGATTTGTGTGTATTGAAACATCCTTGGGATAAATCCCACTTGAACATGGTGTATGATCCTTTTAATGTGCTGTTGAATTCGGTTTGCTAGTATTTTGCTTATAATTTTTGCACCTATGTTCATAACGGAAAATTAGCCAGAATATCTTTGCCTTTCATGACCTCAACATTTTTTAACAGTGCTGGGGATTTTTCTGTGATGCTTACTCATTACGTCAGCTTCCGCCACCTGTGCATCCAGGTTCCTAAGTTCACCTATGAGTCTCTGTTCATCACTTCCTCCACCTACGCATCTATGTTCCTAACGAATAGTTTGCCAGCCTTTTCTTATCTTTCATGATCTTGCCACTTTTCAAGAGTGCTGGTTTTTTCCTGATGTCTACTCCTTATGTCAACTTGTCTACCTTTCTATTTAAAAAAAAAAGATGAAACTAGTCTTCTTCAGACTTCTTTTTGAGAAACACTGCTCTGTACTTTTTAAAATATGACTTTAGTTATAAAAACTTGAGCCAAAAGCTTACTCTAGGTGCCTCTCTATTTATTTTTTAAAATTTCTTTCCTTTTAAGTATTATAAGATTCAGGATTAGAGCACTAGAAGAAGTTTATATACATACATATTTTTATATACATATACACTTGAAATACACGTTATACATACATAAGTATATATGCACATACATACATATACATGTACATGTACATATGCCTATACGTATATATTAATCTATGACATCATACACACAAAACCCTATTGTGAAACCAAAATTGTAGTGATAACAAAGCTTCACCTTTGGTTCTATACCTGGGCCTCCCTTCAACCCAACCTGTTACACTTTAGTTGCCCTTCATGTTTAGAGCTCTAAGTAAATTTTCTTAGGAGAAAAATAAAAGAGGACTTCATTGCCAAGAAGAAAGTTTGCAAACCATTAGACATGTTGATTCCTTAGGACTCTTCCAGACAGAACTTATTTGCTATTTACTTGAAATAATGTCATTTATTTGAAAGATCTTACTGGAGTAAAATGAGGAGTATGATGGAGGGTAAAAATTGGAGAATGCCCTGCTTAGAGATTATTATACTAATTACTATGTAAAATTGCATAGCAGTCTGGTCTAAAATTTCATCTGAAACCGGTTTGGGGAATGTAGAGATTCTGAAAGCTGTCCAACAATTACCCAATAGTGATTAAGCAACATCTTACCATACCTCTAATTTCTTGCACATTTGTAACATTTGCTTGGCTTTGCAAGTGTAGCAAGCATAACTGAAACAACAATTGGGCTTGATGTATTGGCTCACCTCTGTAGTCCCAGCACTTTGGGAAGCCCAGTGGGGAGGATTACTTGAGGCCAGGAGTTCAAGACCACTCTAGGAAAAATAAAAATAAAAATAGTCAGAGGTAGTGGTACACTCCTGTAGTCCCAGCAACTCAATAGACTGAGGCAGGAGGATTGCTTGGGCCCAGGAGTTCGGGGTTTGCAGTGAGCTAGGATCACACCACTGCAATGCAACATGGGTGACAGAGGAAGACCCTAATTCTAAAAAACAAAAAAGAAAAGAAAGAAAGAAAAAAGAAATAACAATTGGATGTAGCCATACAGATTCGTGAATATGTGATACCCTACCTTATAACTTTTCAGCAGGACAATACTTAATAACACAGGCACCAAACAGAGACGTGATTCTTAGTAAAATCTGTAGGGCAGCACAAAAGTGCACAAAAATCTAACACCATTCTATTTCTTAATTAATTATATAAGAACTTAGTATCTATTTAGACATTCTGATTTATCTGTTCAAAGGGAACATAGTGTAGTATGCAGATGAACAGGCTGCAGAAGAACTCAGTGTACTTAATGAGCATTTAAAAAGGTGATTTTCTTTATCCTTTCCTATTTACTTTTGTGATTATACTTTAAGTTATTTGTTCTTCATGGACTGCTAAACTTTCTATATGAATTACATATTCATTGAAAAGCTTTATTACCTGTACTGTGTTTATTTTGGGTCATAAGAATCAACTTTTACTTTGAAATTATTATAGAGCTCATTTTTTCCAATGTCTCATGATCCTGTGATTGATAATATGTTATAGATTATGGCTTTAAAAATTCGGTATCAATAATCACCACTGAGGGATATATTTTAAAAAATGACTCATCTGTTTCAATTCACATTATAAAAGGATTTTCTCATGGATTAGGACACATACATTACCCTGTCATTTTCTCTTGTGGACTTGGTCCACTTTTCAATTGTATTCTTATTATTGAGAAGAAATGAATATATTTAACCTATTATTGCTAGATTTCCTGGCAACATCACATGATGTGTCCTAAAATCACTGATGTGGCTTGCTGGTCACAACGATCTGGATGATCACTATAGCTTAGAAAACTCTTGTGGACATGGTGCCTTAATCTTTAATTAAGAGGAAAAACTATTTCTAAACTTTAATCATATCACTTAAATCCAATTTCATGGCCACATTTTATTTTAAAAGAATGTATGCATTGCTCTTATTTAGGATCAGAGATATTCTTTTTACTTTCATAAAACAATGGGAATTGATTTGATATTTTGAAGTAATTAGTAAGTCCTACTCTCTTAGATATTCTAAAAAATAAGTATTTCAATGTAGGTAATTTAAAGAGGAAGCTGTGATATGCAATAGCTCTACTTATTTAGGTTTATAGCTTTGGTCTTTCTAAATACACTTTTGTTTCTAATTTGTATCATTTGTCATAAGGTGGTAATAAAGCCGTATGATCTTATTTATAATAATATTTCTATGGCATCCCATATTTCTATGGCTGTATATATTACATATGTGACACTTCTTTAAAAATATAAAAAACTCTTTAAAAACAGTTTAATAGCAAATATTAATCAGAAATTATAATTAATGGTGATGATTTTTAGAAAAACATGATTGACATGCAGCATTCTTGGACATGGGATGATGTCCCATACATAGATAGTATGTATGTTAGTTTCTGTTATTTTGTTTGTTTACCTCTGTGTAATCACTGCATATCAGTGTTATAGAGGTCACCTGAAGTCCATCAGAAGCAGAAATATCTGTCTTCTTTTACTTGCACCTGGAAGTGGTATCACTGTGAGTCCTGCACTTCTGAGTGATATAATCTGTTTTACTGTCACACTTTTAGGACATAAAGTGGGAAGTGGGATTTTAGGGGAAGAATAAAGATCAGGAAAGGACAGGATTAATCTGCAAGGAGGAGAGCAGGTTGATTATCTTGGACTCTAGCCCATGTGGGAGTTTTGCAGTTTCCAGCATGGTTGGAACATGCGTGCTAGGATGAGGCCAAAAAATCCTCCCATTTGGAATTTCTTCATGGTGGTTCATAGTTTATCCAGATACTCATTGGCTAGTTGTGTATTGTTGGAATCAAGTTTGGAGTTGTTAGGGGTAGTTCATAGAAAGGAAAATTAGTGGGGATAGCAATCACAGTTTCTATGAAGTTGAGTGCTCTGGGTTGAAAATGACAGATATGAAGTTTGGTGAACAATACTTACCATTAGCAATGTAGGAACTCCTCAAATAACAAGTTAATATTTTGTCTACATCCATCCTTCCATGGATGACAGGCTATGGATAAGTTGGTGTGGGCATGCAGGAATTTGAATAACACACACTCAAACCAGGGAGCTAGATGGTAGGGTATCTTGTGAACAAGTAACTGGATTGAGAAGGGTAGTAGATGATGGGGGGCAAAGTGCAAGGGCCGTAATATGTTCCCTTGGCAGCGGAAACCATTATTCTCTAGGAAAGTGCCATGCCCTTTGAATGGTCACAGGGCACTTGGGAAATGGGAGAGGATTCAGTAATGCCTCAGACTGTCTGGAGTTGACTTTATGCCAAGTGCAGGTGTCCATGGCAGATTACTGCTTTGAATGGGCTTTGAAGCAGTTGAGTCATAAAATGACACAGGGCATGAAGTCATGGATCATCCCTTCTCTGACTTTGTTACCAGCTTCCTTTCAGCCACCACTCCCAATTCATGCTGTCCAGGAGGGATGTTTGCGAATGAAAAAAACTGATGTAGGAGTGAAAATCGTGCTGGTCCACATGTTTACTCCAAGCATTTTAGCATGGCATAGAAGCTTTTCATGAACTGGGTCCCAAATTTTGCTCTCAAAAGTATAAACTTAGGAGACCAGTCTTCATCATGGTATAAATAAGTTACTTTCTTGATGACAATAATACCAGTGGCATGGCCTATAACTTGAAAAACACGGCCTATAACTTGAACCAATTAGAGATTCAAACTGGGGGACTTAATAAGGGAGGGGCAGAGCAAATAATTTATATGAGACAATTTTACTGTAAATACCATAAGTTTAGGATTAATGATATTTAATTATAAAAGGAAAGTTCAAATGCATACTATCCATTGTGTTTTCATGAAAATAAAGTTCATTGTTGAAAAAGATTAAGAATAAGGATGGGCTTTATTGAAGCTCTTCCACAACCTTTAAGTTACTTAGCTATCCAAAGGTCTTTATTATATTGGAAATATAATAAAAAGGTAAATAGAAGTTTGAAATACAGTTACCAGTGTCTAAACTCTAAGGACATTACCGTGAGCCAGATATGTTCTCTCAAATTTTGACCTTTTACTTTTTCATTCTTGTTCTTTACAAAGTAATAACATCCTGAGATGAATGTCACATTTTTTTGCACTCAAGTACATATCAGTTACCCACAAAATCAGAAATACATATCCATTCCTTCATGTCCATTTTATAGAATGCTCCATTCTAGGCTTGTTTTGGTTTAGTATTAATGTTTATGTGCACTTTTGAACTTTGCTTAGCTGGCTATCTTCGAGACCATATAGGTCTAGGAGGAAAGAACTAAGCTATAGATAGGTCAATAATTCAGCATTACTGTTGGGACCTACTTGTTTTATACTTGTTACTGTTTCTCGGATCCTATTATTCCTGGCTCCAGATATAGTGTCCTGTTAAAAGAATTATACATCAGATATTATAGTTTTTAATATTATGGTTTCCATATTATTAAAATATTCATTTTTCTATTTTCCCATATGATATTAATGACTTTATTATCTTAGGCCCAGTAAGGGGTACAATGACAACTTAGGTATCATGTCAGTGTTTGTGAAATTCAAAACCAAGTAGAAAGATTAATCATGTACATTTTTGTATAATAAAG
The DNA here is from genome assembly GCF_000001405.40 of Homo sapiens. Classification (NCBI taxonomy): domain Eukaryota; kingdom Metazoa; phylum Chordata; class Mammalia; order Primates; family Hominidae; genus Homo; species Homo sapiens. The sequence continues at coordinate 176,520 of NW_003315913.1, forward strand.
GAAAAGTGACGACTGGCCTTAAAGAGGTAATAGAGATTTGGGAATTTAAAAAAGAAGAGTTTCCTTTGATCAGGTATTTACATGCAGAATCACACATATATGCTTGTGAGTATATATAAAATGTGTAGAAAATATCTGAAACACACCTGATAAATAACATAGTTGTTAAGACTATGGCAAAATTGCCAACCTCGGAGAATCTGACTCAGGTGCTTTTCCAATATCTTGAAGAGAACTGACTTTAGCATGGGTTTTGAAGAATGTTAGAGGAAAAAAGCCTTGAATGGCAAAGTAACAAATGACATAATGGGGAACATAGAGATGGGAAATACTGACACATTTGTTGAAGTGACTTATTTCATATGGCATTCCAGAAAGGAAAGTTAGGGTCAGGCAAGGTTATTGATGGACACTTTTTGACCTGTCCCTGTTTATGTGTTCTCTGTTTGTTTTTTTCCTAGATTAGCGAGATTGAGAGTAGGATGACTGAGGGTGGGCTATTGATAGCAATCTTTGATTAGTAAATTATCTACCTAAGGGCATGGCAGAGAGATTTGGGATCTAGGAAAGTTTCTGTAAGATAACTTTGTTTTGGCTCATTTTCATTCTACACTTATTAAACCTCTAGCATCTTGGAAGTACACTGTAGAGATGGTAGGATACCATTTCCCTTTCTGAGGTACCTCTTGGATTTCAATTTAGTTTTTCCTTTCAGTTCAGCCAGCCACTGTGGTGACTGGGTGACTTAGAGGTACATCCTGTGGTCCTGAGCTTTTCACTTGTAGCAGCAGCAGGTATTTTCATTTGTCCAGATCCCAGACTCTAGCCAAGGCAATAGCTCTTGGGAGATTAATTCAACGTTATCTCCTGCAGTCTGCAGGGTCATAGGTGAGACCTCAAATGCCTTTCTCTTTGAAAAAGAAAAGGCACTCCTTATCAAGTACTTCACATTTTATCCTTGCATATCAGACTTGTGCACATCGATTTTTTCATAATTTTCTCCCTTTGTTTCTCCAACACTGCATCATTCTCATAAGATACCTGTTGATTGGCCTTTTTTTTCTTCACCTTGGTCCACGTGCTTTTGCATTGGGATAATGTTTCTTAAAAATTATGGTATGATGTTGGTAATGTCCACCTTGTTTCCAAAGAATATATTCTAAAAATGTTTAAGATTTTTTTTTAGATTCTATAATGAAATAATATGATTTAATAGCTATATTTATTTCTTCCACTCACTCTGGTTACTTTATTTAAGAAGGATTTTTACAAAACTATATGTACTGCCAATTTCCACTAGAAATATCTTTAGAATTGGATCATTTTCATTTGTGATTTTTGACCAAAAAATCCTGTGTATCTCTCTCGCCTTGTACATTCTCTTTCTGTCTCTTTCCCTCTCCTCTCTTATACTTTCTCCTTTTTTCCTCACACAAAAAATCAATATTTTTTAAAACCTTAAATTTAAATTGGTTTGAATTTTTTTATGCCATGGTAATATATTATAAATATTATAAAAATAATTATGATACATCACATCAATTTATGTAGATTTGTTTATCTTATGACTGCTAGATAATTAAATTTTTTTTCTCCTGGTATTTTGGAAATGTTTGCATTACAGAATATTACCATATATTTTCAGGTGCAGAATGATGCTGAAATAAAACATAAAATCAAGATGCAAGTCTTACTTTACCCTGGCTTACAGATAACAGATTCTTATTTGCCATCTCACCGAGAAAATGAGCATGGTATAGTTTTGACCAGGGATGTAGCCATAAAACTCGTGAGCTTATATTTCACCAAGGATGAAGCACTTCCCTGGGCAATGAGAAGAAACCAACACATGCCTCTGGAGTCAAGACATCTGTTTAAGTTTGTTAACTGGAGTATTCTTCTTCCTGAGAAGTATAGAAAAGACTATGTATATACTGAACCAATTCTTGGAGGACTTAGTTATTCATTGCCAGGACTTACAGACAGCAGAGCATTACCCTTGTTGGCCAATGATTCTCAGTTACAGAATTTGCCACTAACCTATATTCTTACTTGTCAACATGATCTCTTAAGAGATGATGGACTTATGTATGTTACAAGACTTCGAAATGTTGGAGTCCAAGTTGTTCATGAACATATTGAGGATGGAATTCATGGAGCTTTATCATTCATGACTTCACCATTTTATTTACGTCTAGGTCTTAGGATAAGAGATATGTATGTAAGTTGGCTGGATAAGAATTTATAAATATGTGATGTGTATGTATAGCCCTTACATAGTGGATTGTAATTTGTGATATTTTGTGGTTTTGGAGCAAAGAACAATGTCATTTGAGTTATCTAAATCTACATTTGCAACATTTGTAGCAGTTAATGTGTGTCCTTGAAGAGTTATTAAATTTTCTGACTTGCAGACCCTGAATATGTAAAATGTATGTAATCCTGCCTATTTTCTCCTTACTTATAATTTATTATAATTATGTTGGTTCTAATAAGAACCAATGCTTATTAAAGTTGAGAAATAAGAGTGGTTATTGGCAAATTAAGCAAGATACTTTCCAGATAGGCACAGAAATTGTTGTAGTGAGTGGGAAGAGGAAAAAACATGGAACAAACTTGCTGCTAAAAATATATGGAAACCACTGGACTAAATAAACCCTAAGGACCCTATATTAGTTTCCTGTGACTATTGTAGCAAATTACTACAAATTCAGTCGCTTTAAACAACAGATATTTATTCTTTTACAGTTCTGGGGTCCTAAAGCATGAAATTAGTATTAACTAGGCCCAAACCAAGTCACAGGCAAGAGACATGACTCCCTTGGAGACTCTCTAGAAGGTGCTCTTTGCCTCTTTTAACCTCTGGTGGCTGCCAGTATTCTTTGACTATTCTTAGATCAGTTTAATCTTGAAGGCCAGCATCTTCCAATCTCTTTCTGCTTCATCTTCACATTGCCTTCTTCTCTGCCTGTGTCTAATCTCCCTATGGGCTTCTCTTAGAAAAACACATGTGTTTACATTTAGGAGGGTCCACCTGAATAGTCTAGGATAATCTCTGCATCTCACGATCCTCAATTTAATTGTATTTGCAGATTTCCCCACCCTTTTCTATATAAAGTAACCTTCAGAGATTAGGATGTAGTTATCTTTTGGGAGGCCATTTTTAAAAATATTTTTTAAAGGAGGCAGCAGATCAATATTATAATTCAAGAATCTGATCTAAATATGCATTCAATAATGAAGAACATTTGAGTATGGACTAGAAAAGCTTCTCCAAAAAACTTTCAAATATATCATCTCAAATTACCTAAAGAATAAATCACTTCTGTAGCCCTTTTGTTGAGTGGAATCATAAACAAAAAACTGAAAATTTATTGCTATGAAAACAGATCCATGGTACAATGTTATAAATTTTGAGTATTAAGCATAGTCAGTTGAATCCAACTAAGAAGTTAAAAATGTAGTAAGAAATGTGTATATGTATGAGTATGTGCATGTGTGTGGGAAAAATCTACCATCCAATTGACCCAAAAACAACTTACTCAGTTGGGACCAGACATTTTTCTCAATTCTCCATGATTCAGAAGGCAATTAAGAATTACAATTTCAACAGTCCACAAACAAAATAAGATTTTTTTAATGTAGAGAGAAATTAATTATGTTCAAAGAGCCCTTTTTCTTTCACTCAATTTCAGTACCCCAAAGCTAAAAACGCAAACATGACTATGACAAATGAAAATAAGTATCATGGGAATCTGTTTTTTTCCTCTGAGAAATAAAATCTAAATGGAGATTTGATACTATATGCTATACTACATACACTAAGAATATTGTATTTTTCATAATTCTGATTTAATCTCCTGTAAACTTGATATATTTTAAAATTTGTAATTTGTTTTTCATGATACTGAATCTGGTTCCAGTTCTTTTTCATCATTTAATATACTGGCTACCCGTTCTAATTAGGAAAACAAGTCCTAGAAATCTCTTCATTTTGACAGCAAGTGCTGATTTGTAAGAAAATCATTAAAAATGCAGCTCTCTAGGAAGCACATTTTGTTGATTGTCCTATTGTCTGAACATTTTCACAGTGATTCCTGACTAAAAATCCTTTTAATTTTGTAAGCACTACACTAGTGTGTCATGTCACTA